>NW_018654716.1:0-165120 GCF_000001405.40 Homo sapiens | reverse complement strand
AGCTTGTCCCGGGGGGTGTGGAATCTGGCAGTGACTGGTGGAGCTCAGGGTGCTGCAGACCCACCCCGGCCCCCAGGGCCTCACAGTGCTAGACCCACAGGCATGTGCGAGTGGGCTCTACAGCAAGTCTGGTGGGTGACCCCTGGGGCTGTTGAAAAGGGGCTGCCTGGTTTGCCCTCTGGGATTCAGAGGGCAGAAAGGGCCGGCCTTACCCTGGTGACATCACATCCCTCCCGCAGGGGAGCACCAACAGGTGCTGCAGGCCGTGGAGCTCCAGGGCTTGGGCCTCTCGTTCAGCGCCTGCTCCCTGGCCCTGGACCAGGCCCAGCTTACACCCCTGCTGCGGGCCCTCAAGCTGCACACAGCACTCCGGGAGCTGCGCCTGGCAGGGAACCGGCTGGGGGACAAGTGTGTGGCTGAGCTGGTGGCTGCCCTGGGCACCATGCCCAGCCTGGCCCTCCTTGACCTCTCCTCCAATCACCTGGGTCCCGAAGGCCTGCGCCAGCTTGCCATGGGGCTCCCAGGCCAAGCCACCTTGCAGGTATAGGCACAGAGAGCAGCAGGCCCTCAACAGCGGGGAGTTGGGGTTCCCATTCTGCAGGTCCCTGGGTGGTCTAGGGTAGTTGGGAGAGCCAGCCAGTGCCCGGCTGTAATAGGCTATGCCAGGCAAGGTGGGGAAGAGACTGCCAAGCCAAGCCCCAAGGGGGACCCTGTCCGTGGGACTGCTGGGGGCTCACTGCCAGCCTGTGTCTTCCACAGAGTTTGGAGGAGCTGGACTTAAGCATGAACCCCCTGGGGGACGGCTGTGGCCAGTCCCTGGCCTCCCTCCTGCACGCCTGCCCCTTACTCAGCACCCTGCGCCTGCAGGCGTGTGGCTTCGGCCCCAGCTTCTTTCTGAGCCACCAGACAGCACTGGGTAGTGCTTTCCAAGGTGAGCTGACCAGGCACTCCCTGTCCACTCCCTAGCCCTGGGGCATTGAGGGTTTCCAGGACTTTCAGAGGGGGCCCAGGCTGGGCACACAGGGGCAACACCTGTGGTCCCAGCTACTTGAGAGGCTGAGGCGGGAGTATCGCTTGAGCCAAGAGTTCCAGGAAAGCCTGGCCCACATAGTGAGACCCCATCCCTTAAGAAAAAAGCGTCTAGGCCGGGCGCAGTGGCTCACGCCTGTAATCCCAGCACTTTGGGAGGCCAAGGCGGGCAGATCACGAGGTCAGGATATCGAGACCATCCTGGCTAACACGGTGAAACGCCGTCTCTATTAAAAATACAATTAGCTGGGCGTGGTGGCCGGTGCCTGTAGTCCCAGCTACGCAGGAGGCTGAGGCAGGAGAATGGCATGAACCCGGGAAGCGGAGCTTGCAGTGAGCCGAGATCGCGCCGTTGCACTCCAGCCTGGGCGACAGAGCAAGACTCCGTGTCAAAAAAACGAAACAAACAACGTCTAGGGGCCTGGGATGCCAGACCTGGCTCTCCGGGAGGGCCTGGCACCTGGGAGCAATAGATGGATGTGTGGGTACAGGGTCTGCCTCCGAGGGGCGTCTGGTGCCCACCCAGCCAGGCTGACCCCCGCAGGACACACCGAGAGCAGAGTCCGGGCAGCTAGTGTCCTGTGGTCCCCATCCCGTGCTCGCCAGCTGAGTGCTGTTCGCCTGAGGCAGTTCCACTGTGAGCCCACTCAGGCTGCAGAGACTGGGGTCCCAGTGCCAAGAGGCTGGGAATTGGGTGTCATCCAGGGGGAGTGTAAGGGGGGCAGCAATGGTCAGTGCACTCCCCTGGCACCCCCACTGTGCAGAGGCATGTGGCCCAGGACCGTGTGGTTGTGGGGTGGGAGAGGGCAAGTTGTCCAGAACTGGGGGCAGCCGAGCTTGGAAGTCTGGCCCCGCCCTCCCAGCTGGGAGAATCTGGGCGAGAGCCTTTGCCTCTGCACTTGCCACCCCACCCTGCGAGCACTGCGGTAGTGGTTTCCCCAAAGGGGTCCTGAGGGTTCTGGGCCCAGAACTTGGGGTGGGTACAGGGCTGTGGCCACGTGGGGCTGACGGATTCTGGCCCCGGTGCAGATGCTGAGCACCTGAAGACCCTGTCCCTGTCCTACAACGCCCTGGGAGCCCCTGCCCTGGCCAGGACCCTGCAGAGCCTGCCCGCCGGCACCCTCCTGCACTTAGAGCTCAGCTCCGTGGCAGCCGGCAAGGGTGATTCGGACCTCATGGAGCCTGTATTCCGATACCTGGCCAAGGTACGAGGTGGGGAAGAACCCAGAAAATACTGAGCCTCAGAGGCCAAAGGTCCCAGGGTTGCTGGGAGGAGCTCGCCTCTCCCCAGATTCGGGCTGAACTCGCTGAGGGGCTCTACAGAGAGAGTTAGAGGTTTGGAGGTTTAGAAAAAACAGCTGGGGGGCCAGGCGCGGTGGCTCACGCCTGTAATCCCAGTACTTTGGGAGGCCGAAGGGGGTGGATCACAAGGTCAGGAGTTCAAAAGCAGCCTGGCCAACATGGTGAAACCTTGTCTCTAGTAAAAATACAAAAATTACCCAGGCGTGGTGGCGGGTACCTGTAATCCCAGCTACTCGGGATGCTGAGGCAGAGAATTGGTTGAACCCGGGAGGCAGAGGTTGCAGTGAGCCTAGATTGCACCATTGCACCCAGCCTGGGTGACAGAGCGAGATTCCGTCTCAAAAAAAAAAAAAAAGAAAGAAAAAGAAAAAAACAGGCTGGGCGTGGTAGCTTACGCCTGTAATCCCAGCACTTTGGGAGGCCGAGGCGGGCGGATCACGAGGTCAGGAGATCAAGACCATCCTGGCTAACATGGTGAAACACCATCTCTACTAAAAAATACAAAAAATTAGCCGGGCGTGGTGACGGGCTCCTGGAGTCCCAGCTACTTGGGAGACAGGCAGGAGAACAGCGTGAACCCGGGAGGCGGAGCTTGCAGTGAGCCGAGATGGCGCCACCGCACTCCACCCTGGGCGACAGAGCGAGACTCTGTCTCAAAAAAAAAACAAAAAAAGAAAAAAACAGCTGGGGGAATGCTTTTGTACAGCTGCCTGTCTCAGGCTGTGAATTCCTGCCCACCAGATAGGACCCGGGACTCAGGGTGATCTTGCCCCCCGCCAGGAAGGTCCCAAGGGGCACACTAGGGCCCCTGATGCTCTCTCCTGGGGGGTCTTCCAGGCACAACTGGGACCCTATTATTTTCACACTATCACGTGCAGAGTGTGACCCACATCAGGAGAGGTGTTTCCTTCCGATCTCCAACTTGATGGGGGACTCTGCTCCCTTCTGGGCCCCTGGGTGTGGTGCACCTGCTGGGAAGCAGGCAGGGCAGGTGCGCCACTCCGTTTGGCCCCCTTGGGCCTCTGCTCATGTCCAGGAAGGCTGTGCTCTAGCCCACCTGACCCTGTCTGCAAACCACCTGGGGGACAAGGCTGTTAGAGACCTGTGCAGGTAACGCCCTTTCCCTGCTGCCTGCTGACCTGGGGGTCTGATCTCATGGCTCTGGACCCTATGGGAGAAGGGCCACAGAAATGGTACCAGCTCCTCCTCCCCAGCACATCCCAAGACCTGGCTCCTTCGGTTTCCACCAGCCTCTCAGGCTGCCCTGGAAGGCAGACTACCCTCTGGCTTCTTTCTTAGCATGGGCCTGTGGCTCTTGAGAGCACTCCTCCGGGGGTGTCCTTGTCATTCCTGTGCCTCGGCCCACATGAGGGCACTGCTCTTATGACCTGGAGCCTCAGTCAGCTCTCTGGGGAGTGTTGAGAGGAGCCCAAGCTGGGCCAGGCACACCCAGAGCTGGCCACTGTGGCCCTGACCCCTGGGAAGGACCCCCAACCCTAGAGGGCCACCTGCTACTGGGCCAGGCTGAGGCAGAGCCCCTGGGTCTGGCCCGAGGCTCCCTGAGCTGGCATTTGTCTGGGCAGCTTTCCTAGTGTTGGGGCACAGCCTCTCTGGAAGCCAACCTTTGCACTTCTTCCCATGTTATCTCAGATGTCTCTCTCTGTGCCCCTCACTCATCTCACTGGATCTGTCTGCCAACCCTGAGATCAGCTGTGCCAGCTTGGAAGAGCTCCTGTCCACCCTCCAAAAGCGGCCCCAAGGCCTTAGCTTCCTTGGCCTGTCAGGTGAGTGCTGGTATGGTGGCCACGCCTGCCATGTTCGGCCTTTTCAGGGACCTGCCTGAGACCCAGGTGCCTCCTCCTAAGGGGCTGTCACTGCTACCAGCCAGGCAGCAAGGCTGGGCTCCATGAGGCTGGGGCAGCAGGGGGCAGAGTGACAGTGACAGAAAAGGGGCATGATCCCAGCTCCTAAAACCATGGGTTAGGGGGCGAGGTGGGTATCTGCCTCTGGTCTCTCCAACCCAACCTTCAGAGCAGACTATGGTAGGCAAGACCCTGTTCCACAGGGACTTTCTTCTTGTCCCTGGCAGGAAAAGGGATCCCAAGGTCAGGGTGTTGAAAGCTGCCAAGGGACCCTCCTACTTCCTGGCAGGGGCTCCTCTGACACAACCCTGCCCAGGGCTGTGGTCTGATTTAGCTTGTTCTCTCTTGAGCCACATCAGGGCAGTCCCCAACCTGAGCTGTCTGGAAGACAACCCCAGGAAGGGCTTTGATGACCTGGCTTGCCCCACTGGGGCCGGGGCAGGCTGTGCCCTCCAGGGGATGAGGGCTTAAGTGAATGTGCACGAAGCGGGGCTCTGCTTTCTTCCTGTGCCCCCTCCCCTTCACCTCCCAGGGCCAGGCCGCCTTTTCCAGGAAGGCCCCCGAGTGCTGGTGTGAGACCCCTTCCCCACACCTCAGTTCCTGGCATCTGTACCTTCCCACCCAGCTCCCTGAATTCCTGAGCTTAGTGTTCTCTTGATCCACTCAGGCCCACGATGTACAGATTTGCAAGCAGATCCATTATGTCCTTCTTATGGGTGGGGAGACTGACGTGTAGGCATGGACTTTGAGATCGGGCACTGTCAGAGGTAAAGAAGGGAGCCACCCTTCCTCCTGTCTGACCGCTGGCTGTGCAGATGATCCCACCCCTTCCTGGAGAGTCATGGGGCCTCTCCGGAGCTCTGCCCACTGCCCCTCGCTACAGCCCTGGGGCCCTCAGCGAAAGCGAGTTTGTTCCCTGGAGCCTGCCGCGGGCACCAGGACGCCGCCGGCCCCCGCAGCGCTGAGGTCTGCCCTCTTCCCCTCCGCAGGCTGCGCCGTCCAGGGTCCCCTGGGCCTGGGCCTGTGGGACAAGATAGCCGCGCAGCTCCGGGAACTGCAGCTGTGCAGCAGACGCCTCTGCGCTGAGGACAGGGACGCCCTGCGCCAGCTGCAGCCCAGTCGGCCGGGCCCCGGCGAGTGCACGCTGGACCACGGCTCCAAGCTCTTCTTTCGGCGCCTCTGACCCTGGCGCTGCCTTTCCCCACCCTCACCGAAGCCCCTAATAAATGAAGCTGCTGGCCGGGCGCGGTGGCTCACGCCTGTAATCCCAACACTTTGGGAGGCCCAGGCGGGCGGATCACGAGGTCAGGAGATCGAGACCATCCTGGCTAACATGGTGAAACCCCGTCTCTACTAAAAATACCAAAAATTAGCCGGGCGTGGTGGTGGAAGCCTGTAGTCCCAGCTACTCCGGAGGCTGAGGCAGGAGAATGGCGTGAACCCGGGAGGCGGAGCTTGCAGTGAGCCGAGATCGCACCACTGCACTCCAGCCTGGGCGACAGACCGAGACTCCGTCTCAAAAAAAAAAAAAAATAAAATAAATGAAGCTGCTGCCTCCCTCCCCGTGGCTGCCTGGCAGGCGGGTGGGCGGGGTAAGACCGGGCTTCGAGTCTGCTGCGCCGGTTACGTCCCGGGGGCTGCGCGGCTGGAGGGAATGTCCCGAAGTCCGGGCGGGCGCGGGCGCAGGCGTGAGGGCTGAGCGCCGAGCTGCCGATGGGGACGGAGGGGCGGGGGGTCGCCCCGACGCGCGCAGGCGCAGACATGAGGGGCGAATGCCGAGTCGCTGACCGAGCGCACCCCGCCCCCGGCGCCATCTTCCCGACCGCGAGCCGTCCAGGTACCCGGGGCCCGGCCGGTGGGCGGGGAAGGGGCAGAGTGGGGAGAGGCGACTCAGGGCCTGGCACCCTCTGGGCGCGCCTAGGCCCCGGCACAGCTTCGGCTGAGCGCCGCAAAAGTCACGTTATTGGCATGTTCTAGAAACTGGCTTTCCTTGCTCGTTGTCCACTCTGCGAGGTTGTTTTGCACATTTGCTTGTGGCCGCAGAACGTCCGCTTTCGCTGTTAGGCAGAAGCTCCTGCGTGGTTGGGGCGGTTGGCTCCTCGGCGCTCTCCTGCCTGGCGGCTCCGTGACGGCTGCCGAGCAGCCTCGGTCCCCACCCCGCGGCTCGCAATGGCCTCGACCCTCGGAGAGCTTGACCCAGACGTTCCCTACCTACATGAGCGGCGACGCCCTTTCCCGGCTCTTCCTCGGCTGGGGCGCCCCAGGGCTTCGGCGCGGGCGGCCTTCCCTCACTTCTGCTCTTCTCCCATCCCCGGTAGCACCGTCCACTCCCAGTTAGCCGGCTCAGCGCTGCTCTCCCGGGCCTCTCCACCGAGAGCTTCCTGCGCCTGCCCGCCAGGCCCGCTCCTCCTCCCCTCTCCGTCTGAGTTTATCTTACTGCCCGGCCCATTGGGCCAAAAACAGGGGTGTCGTTCGTAACTCCTTTATTTTAATCCTATCTCAAATCCCTCGGCGGATCTGACGGCTCCACTTTCAAAGAGAGAACGTCTGGAGCTGGCCCAGCTTCCGTGCTAGGCAGGACCCTCCCACGGGCCCCGCTCCCATTGTTTCTCCACAGCTCGCTGCCCAACTAGGGGCACCTCTCCATCTTCATTCCCTAGGACCCCCTCTTTCGAGAAGCTGCACCTTCAGCTTGTTGGTTCCTCCAAGTTCATGCCTACTTAAAGGCGGGCTGTTAAGTGTGTTGTTTCCTGTGCCCCAAACTCTCCTCGTGGGCCATCAAACAGCTGCCTGCCGCCCTCATAACCTCCCTCAACCTCCAGCTTGAACCACACTCCACTGCAGCCCCCGCCCCGCTCTCCTGAGTGTCCATAGTACCTCACTTTTTCTGGTAGCCCCTATAGCACCCTGTGTGTTCACCATTATTGAGCTTAGGAGAGCTCTTCATGGAGCCCTGGGTCTCCAGGACCTGGCACTTACGGGCTGTCTTTTTTTGTCGGTTTTTTTTGTTGTTCGTTTGTTTGTTTTGAGACAGGGTCTTGCTCTGTCTCCCAGGCTGGAGTGCAGTGGCTCAGTCTTGGCTCATTGAAACCTTCACCTCCTGGGTTCAAGCGATTCTCCTGCCTCAGCCTCCTGAGTAGCTGGGATTACAACCGTATGCCACAACGTCCGGCTAATTTTGTAATTTTAGTAGAGACAGGGTTTCACCATGTTGGCCAGGCTGGTCTCAAACTCCTGACCTCAGGTGATCCGCTCACCTCGGCCTCCCAAAGTGCTGGGATTACAGGTGTGAGCCAGCGCCTGGCTTAGGGGCCATCTTTGAGTCGGCCCTGGCTCTGCTCCCCAGGTCTCAGTGCTGTGCCCCCCCCAGAGCCTAGAGGATGTTTCATGGGATCCCAGCCACGCCGGGCATAGGAGGTGAGTGTGGCTGGAAGGGCGCAGGCTTTCAGCCGCTTCTGCAGGGGCTGACGGGCAGTATTGGGTATTGGGGATCGGGGGTGGGGAGGTATCTGACCCTGCTCTCGTACAGCCTTGGGGGTGGCCAGGGGCTAAATAGTTCATTGCAGGAGCACTGAGGGCTCAGAAACCTCCAGACAGAACTGGCTTGGTCCTGCTGGGCAGAGATGATGAGCTTCGGTGTGGCCAGAACGGTGGGGGTCCTGGGCACCCTGTGTCACCAATCCCAGGGGAGAGGCTGTGTGTGGTGAGCCTTGTTGGCACTGCATCATGAGCCACGAGCAGGGCGTGGCCACTGTTGTGCAGGTGACTCCGCCAGGGAGCCATGGTGGAGCTGGGGAGCTGGGCCTGTCATGCGGTCCCCCGGGGAGCCGCAGTGGAGCTGGGGAGCTGGGCCTGTCATGCGGTCCCCCGGGGAGCCGCAGTGGAGCTGGGGAGCTGGGCCTGTCATGCGGCCCCCGGCTTCTCAGAGGTGTTATCATCAGGTCCCCCCACACACTGATAGGGGTGAGGTTGGAACCTCTGTGCTCCAGCTCCCTCTGGGCTCTTTGGGACCCAGCCTGGGAGGCCTCAGGGAGGAACTGAAATGGAGACTGGGACTGGAGTCTGCCCTTGGGTTCCCTTTGGGGCCAGCCTGCCAGCTCTCTGCCTTCTCTTGCAGCCCCTGGGAACAAGCCGGAGCTGTATGAGGTGAGTGGTGGGTGCCCACCCGGCCGGCATTGGCCAACAGCAAATGCCTGTGTGGCCTCACCAGGGTCCTGCAGCCCCTGTTGGCACTGGCCCACAGAGCCCGCTCTCTCCGGCAGGAAGTGAAGTTGTACAAGAACGCCCGGGAGAGGGAGAAGTAAGTCCAGGCGCCCAGGCTGTCCCAACACACCCATGCGCATCTGGCTGCCCTGGGGCAGCCCCTCCAGACCCACCCCAAACTGAGGGGTGGGAGGACGCAGGGTCAGTCTGGGGAACTGTTCCTGAGGCACTCCAGGATGGAGCAAGAGGTGGGCAGAGCGCCCGCAGTGGCACCTCCGGGCAGGGGGTAGCACTCTGGGCTCTAGGCTTGGCACCCCGGGGCCTGGCCCGATAGACAGGTGTGTCCTCAGGTACGACAACATGGCAGAGCTGTTTGCGGTGGTGAAGACAATGCAAGCCCTGGAGAAGGCCTACATCAAGGACTGTGTCTCCCCCAGCGAGTAAGAGCCCACGTCCTGGGAGGTCTGTTCCTGCCCTGGGGGGCTTGGGTGCTCCATAGGCAGCAAGAGCAGGCGTCTGTCAGGCTGGGAGGCACCCACTTGTGTGGGGCCCACCCAGCGTGAGGAGGGTGCCCCTGGGTCTCAGCCAGGGAAGTCCTGGGGGCTGGTGAGGGAGGCGGGCAGAGGCGCAGCTCCTGGGGTGTCATCCGGCCCACTCCCCCACCCTCATCCCCCAGCACAGGCAACCTTAAAAAACGGTCGAGAGGCTTGGGGATGTCCCAGGATCTTTTGGGGGGGCTTTGTTCAATGAAGTGACAAGACCGTCACAGGCCACCGCACAGGACCATGAGCTGTGGATGCGGCCATCACAACAGAGGGCTGGTCGCTGTGGTTCAGAGGGTGGGCAGGGGTTGGGGGCCGGGGTCTCCACCTGGAGCCGAGCTACAAGCCCCACTACGTGCTCAGGGCCTCACCCCCAAAAGCTACTAGCAGCCCCTCCTCCTTGCTCGGCCTGCCTTTGCCTGTCGCCTGGTCCTCTCTGGAAGCTGCTCTGCCTCTGGACCAGCCGAGGGGGTAGGATGAGCTGGGTGGGGCTGGTCCCATGCTTGGGCAGCAGCTGACCTCTCCCTAGGTACACTGCAGCCTGCTCCCGGCTCCTGGTCCAATACAAAGCTGCCTTCAGGCAGGTCCAGGGCTCAGAAATCAGCTCTATTGACGAATTCTGCCGCAAGTTCCGCGTGAGTGCCTGGTCCTTCCACCCCCATGGGGCGAGACTGTCGGGCATGGGTATGGGGTGCCAGAGGGCTCTGGCCACCTGGGGCTTGCTGTCCTGAGAGCCCCAGCACCCATGTCACCCCCAACAGCTGGACTGCCCGCTGGCCATGGAGCGGATCAAGGAGGACCGGCCCATCACCATCAAGGACGACAAGGGCAACCTCAACCGCTGCATCGCAGACGTGGTCTCGGTGCGCCCCAGCCCCCAGGGCACGTGGTTAGGAGAGCCGAGGCTGCCTGCTGCAGCTGGGCACGAGCGTAGGGTCCTGGGCCTCCAGAGCTGAGCAGCACTCTGACTTGCTGGGCAGAAGGGAACCCCTTTAACTAGGAATGAGGGGTGGGCAGCATGCGGGGACGCCCCCAGGCCACCTGGACTCCTGTCGGGGGGATGAGCACAGGGTGCGTTCTGGCGGGGTCCTGGCCTCGGGAGAGAGTGTGGGTGTGGGCCCACCCTTCAGTTCCCACACAGCTGTCTGGGCAGCCAGGACCTCGTTCACCCAGGAGGCCTGCTGGGTTTGGGAACAGAGTACAGTGAGGAGGCCCAAGTGACAGCTGTGGCTGAGGAGGGGTTGGGGCCCGTGAGCCGTGGGGCCTCCCGCACCCGTGGACACGCGAGCCTCATGTGCACACCTGCCCCCAGCTCTTCATCACGGTCATGGACAAGCTGCGCCTGGAGATCCGCGCCATGGATGAGGTGCGGGTATTGGGCTGGCAGGGGGCCTAGGCAGGAGGGGATGGAGCCGGCGTCGGGGTCCCAGCCGCTGTGTGTGTCTCAGATCCAGCCCGACCTGCGAGAGCTGATGGAGACCATGCACCGCATGAGCCACCTCCCACCCGACTTTGAGGGCCGCCAGACGGTCAGCCAGTGGTGGGTGTCCCTCCCAGCCAGGCAGAGCCCCGCAGTGCCCGAGACCCTCCCAGCCAGGCGGAGCCCCGCAGTGCCCCTGAGGCCCTCAGCCCCCACATGCCCTGTGCTGCACTCCCAGGCTGCAGACCCTGAGCGGCATGTCGGCGTCAGATGAGCTGGACGACTCACAGGTGCGTCAGATGCTGTTCGACCTGGAGTCAGCCTACAACGCCTTCAACCGCTTCCTGCATGCCTGAGCCCGGGGCACTAGCCCTTGCACAGAAGGGCAGAGTCTGAGGCGATGGCTCCTGGTCCCCTGTCCGCCACACAGGCCGTGGTCATCCACACAACTCACTGTCTGCAGCTGCCTGTCTGGTGTCTGTCTTTGGTGTCAGAACTTTGGGGGCCGGGCCCCTCCCCACAATAAAGATGCTCTCCGACCTTCCTGCTTGGGTGGCTCCCCCAGGCCTGCCCTGTGTATTCTCTCCACCCTCCTGGGACTCTCAGCATAGAGCCCCTCTCGCCTACCCTCCCCCGACCTGTGTGGTGGCCCGGCCCTGGCTCTGTCCCTGCCACTGCATTCCTCATGGCCTGCATCACTCAGTGACGGCTGCTTCCCTGGTGGGCTCTGCCTGGGCACATAATAGGAGGCAGGGGCGTTTCCATAGCCCCGAGGCCTGGAGAACAGGTCTACCACCTGGGCCAGGCGTGGCTTGACTCTGGCCACAGGGGAGGCTGCCTGCCACCCCTCCCCACGCCTCACTGAAGCCCAGGGCAGCACCAGGTCTTCTGAGTGCAGTCAGGTCCCAGCACACCAGGCCAGGCTGGGCTCAGAGGCGGGGTGCACTTCATGCTGTCAGCTGCTCCACACCCACCTCTCCACTCGGATGACTGCACCCTGGCCCAGGACTCCTGACTTATCTGCAGCTCCAGCCAATTACTCATTGGGTGGGAGTTTGTCATGCCCACCACCAGGGCCTCTCCCCAAGCCCCTGGGCAAAGCCCAAGAGTCAAGGCTGGGCCTGGTGGGGAGGCAGCGGGTGGTGGACGCCGTCCATTCCACAGCGTGTGCTGCACACCTGCTGCTGCCCCCAGGGAAAAGCAGCAGACCACACACCACACCTCTGGGTTCCAAGAGCCGCGTGCTTCACATCTTAGCAACTATGCCCTCAGGATAAGGGACGTGCCAGGGTGTCATTGTAGAATTTTTCTCTCTTAGCGACTGAGAATGCCAGAACCTCTTGACATCTGTGGCATCTAGAGCCGGTGGAATGAGGTGTGTAGAGAAAGGCAGATAGTGAAAATCAAGTCGCTTGGATTTCCGTGGGGGCTTGGGACATCATGGAGGCAGGTGGGCTCTGTGCACAGGCTGAGTGGGGACTGCCTCTCAGACGGCCAAGGGGGGCCGTCAAGCAGGATGACGATGTCAGTGGCTGGAGAGGGAGGCTGAGTCCCGCCAAGAAGCCGGAGGACTGGCCAGGGGCACTGCCATGGGAAGTGGGAAGAGACTGACCAAGGAGCCAGAGAAGAGCCCCCAGGACAGCAGGATCCAGGACACCCAAGGGAGTTGAGGAAGGGCACTGTCGGGTCGGGCCCTGGGGCTCGATGTCCTTGACAGGCACATGTGGGTACGGGGTGCTTCGAGGGAGGACCAGCACCCAGAAACGTGTGTGTGTCAAGGGGGGCAGGTGGCCAGGAAGGGTCATTTTGATCTTTTTTTTTTTTTTTGAGGAGTCGCTCTCTCTCGCCCAGGGTGAAGTGCAATGGCGCGATCTCGGCTCACTGCGACCTCCACCTCCCGGGTTCAAGTGATTCTCCTGTCTCAGCCTCCTGAGTAGCTGGGACTACAGGGGCACGCCACCATTCCCGGCTAATTTTGTATTTTTAGTAGAGATCGGGTTTCTCCATGTTTGGTCAGGCTGGTCTCCAACTCCCAACCTCAGGTGATCCGCCTGCCTTGGCCTCCCAAAGTACTGGGATTACAGGTGTGAGCCACTGGGTGCCAGGCATGTATTTTTTTAAATTTAATTTTTGTTTTTTTTTTTTTGAGACGGACTCTCGCTCTGTCACCTAGGCTAGAGTGCAATGGTGTGATCTCGGCTCACTGCAACCTCTGCCTCCAGGGTTCAAGCAATTCTCCTGCCTTACCTTCCTGAGTAGCTGGGATTACATGTGTTGCCACCATGCCCAGCTAATTGTGTATTTTTAGTAAAAACAGGGTTTCTCCATGTTGGTCAGGCTGGTCTCCAACTCCTGACCTCAGGTGATCTGCCGCCTTGGCGTCCCAAAGTATTGGGATTACAGGTGTGAACCACCGCACACAGCCTGTTTTTTTTTTTTTTTTTTTAATTTTAATTTTAAATTTTTTATTTGAGATGGAGTCTCCCTCTTTCGCCCAGGCTAGAGTGCAATGGCATGATCTCGGCTCACTGCAATCTCCGCCTCCTGGGTTCAAGCAATTCTCTTGCCTCAGCCTCCTGAGTAGCTGGGACTACAGGCGGGAGACACCATGCCCAGCCAATTTTTTTTTTTTTTTTTTGAGACAGAGTCTCTCTCTGCCACCCAGGCTGGAGTGCAGTGGCACCATCCCTGCTCACTGCAAGCCCTGCCTCCCGGGTTCATGCCATTCTCCTGCCTCAGCCTCCCAAGTAGCTGGGACTACAGGCACCCGCCACCACGCCCAGCTAATTTTTTGTATTTTCAGTAGAGACAGGGTTTCACCATGTTAGCCAGGATGGTCTGGATCTCCTGACCTCGTGATCTGCCGGCCTCCGCCTCCCAAAGTACTGGGATTACAGGCGTGAGCCACCGCGCCCAGCCGGCTAGTTTTTGTATCTTTAGTAAACACGGGGTTCCACCATGTTAGCCACGCTAGTCTCAAATCCTGACCTCAGGTGATTCGCCCGCCTCAGCCTCCCAAAATGCTGGGATTACAGGCGTGAACCACCGTGCCCGGCCTATTTTATTTTTTTTACTGTGATAAAATATAGCAAATTTTGCCATTTTAACTGATTTTAAGTACACAGTTCAGGGGCATTAAGTGTATTTACATTATTGTACAACCTCACCACCGTCTACCTCCAGAACTTTTCCATCCAAACAAAGTAAAGCTCCATCCCCATTAAACACTCACACACATTCTCCCCTTCCCAGCCCTGGCAGTCACCCTTCTTTCTTTTCTTTCTCTTTTTTTTTTTTGAGAGAGAGTTTGGCTCTGTCGCCCAGGCTGGAGTGCAGTGGCATGATCTCAGCTCACTGCAGCCTCAACCTCCCAGGTTCAAGTGATTCTCCTGCCTCAGCCTCCCGAATAGCTGGGACTACAGGGGTATGCCGCCAGCCTGGCTTAAGTTTTGTATTTTGTTGTTTGTTTGAGTCGGAGTTTCGCTCTTGTTGTCCAGGCTGGAGTGCAATGGCGTGATCTCGGCTCACTGCAACGTCCACCTGCCAGGTTCAAGAGTCGCCTGCCTCAGCCTCCTGAATAGGTGGGATTACAGGCATGTGCCACCATGCCTGGCTAATTTTGTATTTTTTTTTTTTTTTTTTTGAGATGGAGTCTCGTTCTGTCGCCCAGGCTGGAGTGCAGTGGTGCAATCTCGGCTCACTGCAAGCTCCGCCTCCCAGGTTCAAGAGTCGCCTGCCTCAGCCTCCTGAGTAGCTGGGATTACAGGCATGTGCCACCACGCCCGGCTAATTTTGTATTTTTTTTTTTTTTTTGAGACGGAGTCTTGCTATGTTGGCCAGGCTGGAGTGCAGTGGTGCAATCTCGGCTCACTGCAAGCTTCGCCTCCCGGGTTCACGCCATTCTCCTGCCTCAGCCTCCCGAGTAGCTGGGACTACAGGCGCCCGCCACCACACCCGGCTAATTATTTTTATTTTTAGTAGAGACGGGGTTTCACCGTGTTAGCCAGGATGGTCTCGATCTCCTGACCTCGTGATCCGCCCGCCTCAGCCTCCCAAAGTGCTGGGATTACAGGCATAAGCCACCACGCCCTGCTGGCTAATTTTGTATTTTTAGTAAAGATGGGGTTTCTCCATGTTGGTCAGGCTGGTCTGGAACTCCCGACCTCAGGTGATCCGCCTGCCTTGGCCCTACAAAGTACTAGGATTACAGGCATGAGCCACTGGGTGCCAGGCATGTATTTTTTTTAACTTATTTAATTTTTTGTTTTTTTTTTTAGACAGAGTCTCGTTCTGTTGCCCAGGCTGGAATGCTATGGTGCGATCTCGGCTCACTGCAACCTCTGCCTTCCGGGTTCAAGCAGTTCTCCCGCCTTCGCCTCCTGAGTAGCTGGGATTACAGGCTCCTGCCACTATGCCCAGCTAAGTTTTGTACCTTTTAGTAGACAGGTTTTCACCATGTTGGCCAGGCTGGTCTTATACTCCCAACCTCAGGTGATCCGCCCGCCTTGGCCTCCCAAAGTACTGGGATTAGAGGTATGAGCCACTGTGCCCGGCCTGTATTTTTTTTATTTATTTTAAAATTTTTTGTTATTACTATTTTTGAGACAGAGTCTAGCTCTGTCGCCTAGGCTAGAGTGCAATGGCGTGATCTCAGCTCACTGTAACCTCTGCCTCCGGGGTTCAAGCAATTCTCCCGCCTCAGACTTCTGAGCAGCTGGGACCCCGCCACCATGCCTGGCTAATTTTTGTATTTTTTAGTAGAGATGGGGTTTCACCATGTTGGCTAGGCTGGTCTCGAAGTCCTGACCTTAGGTGATCTGCCCGCCTCGGCCTCCCAAAACCCTTTTACTTTCTGTCTCCATGAATTTGACTGGCTGGGGTCCTCACATCAGTCAGATCACACCGTCCTTGCCCTTTTGCGTCTGGCTGCTTTCGTTCATCACAGTCTCCTCCAGGTGCATCCAAGTCACGGTGCAGGCCGGTTTCCTTCCTTTTTCTGGCTGAATCGTGTTCCACTGTGGATGAACCACGATGTGTTCACTCATGCGCGTTTGGATACTTGAGTTGCTTCCATCTTTTGAATAGTGCTGCCATTGAACGTGGGCTTTTTTTTTTTGTTGTTTTTTTCTTTTTAGAGTCAGGGTCTTGCCAGGTTGCCCGGGCTGGAGTGCGTGATGCGATCGTGGCTCACTGCAGCCTCCACCTCCTGGGCTCAAGCAATTCTGCCTCAGCCTCCCGAGTCGCTGGGACTACAGGCACCCACCACCACTCAGGGTGCCTTAATTTGTTTTTGTGTTTTTAGTGGAGCTCGGGTTTCACCATGTTGCCCAGGCTGGTCTTAAACTCCTGACTTTAAGTGATCCCCCCGCCCCGGCCTCCCACAGCGCTGGGATTACAGGTGTGAGCCAGCGTGACCAGCCGGTGTTGTTTTTAAGATGGGCCAGTTGCAGTGAGCTTGTTGGATGACAGAGTGGGCCTGAGGGGCAGGAGAGTGCAACCCGTCTGCTCTGGGGAAGCCGGCCTTAGGCTGGGGCATGGGCAGGTGAAACCCTCAACAGCTGCTCCTGGGCTACGGAAGAGAGTTTCTGCTGGGAGGGGTGGGGTCACATGAATGGAGGGAATGGAGGAGGCCTGTAGCCCAGCACTGAGGCCTACTGGGGAGGCAGCTCAGGAAGGCCACAGAGTCAGGCCCAGGCCAAGACCTTTGCCCAGAAGCTAAAGTAGGCCCTTGAGCCTATTTTAGCATGGGTGGCCTCCAGCCAGCCCATTGGTCCTGGGGTGGTGTGGGAGGGAAAGGGCCAGTTTGGGTCCGCAGCATCTTCAGGCTGTGTGTAGAGCAGCCCCCTCATGGTCCTGGGACCCAGAAATCATCTGCACCCCCAGCAGGCTCTGCACCCCCGGCAGGATCTGCACCCCCGGCAGGCTCCCCTAAGGGCCCCCAGAAGGATACCACTGCGGGTGGGCCCAGCCAGAGGAGCACCATGAGATCCGCTTGGTGGGGTGAGGCCGGCAGGGGAAGCACCCTGACCCCAGGACACTGGGCTCAATGCCCGCCCTGCCCCGTCCCACCCTGTGTATGGCGGGACAGAGTCCTTGGGCCTCAGGCACCCAGCTCCCCACCCCAGCCCCACCCACAATGCTCAGGGTCAGGCTGGCTGGACCGGGCGGGAGGTGGCATCTGGACTCCCCCTTCAGAAGGCAAAGCTGCCCTGAGATCTGCCTTCCCCTTCCCCCAGACTTCCTGCCATCACCACCACGGTAGAGATAAGGCCTCTAGGCTCAAAGGCCAGAGAGGGAGCCCACAGAGAGGGCAGGGCTGGGAGCCACAGCCTCCCTGCCCCCGGGGCTAGAGCTGGGGTCTTGCCCCAATCTTATCCTGACCCAAGCTCGGCCAGGTGGCTGCCAGGGCCCAGCTCCGTCTTCCTGTTTGTCTGTGTTGGAGCTTCCTGGGGCTGTCTCCGGCCTAAGGGAGCATGATGCAGCAGGCACCTTTTCAGTTTCTTTGACTCCATCGCAGTCCCCAACAGGGACCACAGCCCAGGACCCAGGAGGAGGGAGGTCCATGTCCCCACCCCCAACAGGGGCCACCGAGGGTGTCTGGGCAGCCTCTGTTGGGAGGGGCAGAGGCAGGGACCTGGGAGCTCTCAGGCTCTGGGGGCATCTGTGCACCTCTGCCCTGTGTCCCCCAGCTTGGAGGCAGCCCCCAGATGGACAGCCAGAAGGGGACACCCCAGCCCTGCCCCACAGCTTGGGGGGCAGCAGGCAGAGGACAGAAGCCCACCCAGGCTGGCCTGGCGTGGTGAGCCACGCCGGTAATCCCAGCACTTTGGGAGGCCAAGGCGGGCGAATCACCTGAGGTTGGGAGTTCAAGACCAGCCTGACCAACATGGAGAAACACTGTCTCTACTAAAAATACAAAAGTAACCGGGCGTGGTGGCGCTGCCTGTAATCCCAGCTACTCGGGAGGCTGAGGCAGGAGAAGCACTTGAACCCGGGAGGCGGAGGTTGCCGTGAGCCAAGATCACGCCATTGCACTCCAGCCTGGGCAGCAAGAGCAAAACTCCAACTCGAAAAAAAAAAGACCACCGAGGCTGCCTGTCCAGGGGAAGGGGCCCAGCCCTCGACCCCCACAGGCAGTGGCTCCAGGCTGTTGGGGAGGATCTGCCACTGGAATGGTTAACCCAGGCATCTCCAGCAGCCAATCACAGAGCTCTGCAGGAATACCTGGGAGAGGTCCTCATGCAGCCCGGGCGGGTCCTAGCCCAGCCCCAGTCTGGCCCTGGACAACCCCAGCAAAGCCGCCCTCAGCCAGCCCAGAAGCACTGGGCCTTGGCCACAGCAACACCCACTGAGCACGCTGGGAGCTGAGTATGGCGTCCCTGGTCTCGCTGGAGCTGGGGCTGCTTCTGGCTGTGCTGGTGGTGACGGCGACGGCGTCCCCGCCTGCTGGTCTGCTGAGCCTGCTCACCTCTGGCCAGGGCGCTCTGGATCAAGAGGCTCTGGGCGGCCTGTTAAATACGCTGGCGGACCGTGTGCACTGCGCCAACGGGCCGTGTGGAAAGGTAACAGCCCCACCCGACGGGTCCCCCAGCCCTGGCCTCTTCCCGCCAGCTCCGCCCTGCCAGCCGGCAGCAAAGGGCCCTGGGCAAACTCCAGGAGGCGGAGGAGGCTAGTGGCAGTACCTGGGCACCCTGACCCTCCCCACAGGCCAGAGCCCACCCTCCTGCTCATGAGGGCAGACAGGCCTTTCCAGGGACACAGTCCCTCTTCTCCCCAGGACCCCAGGGCCAACTCCCCCTGCCGGCCCTCTGCCATCAAATTGGCAGTGGCTCCAGGGGAGTCCCCTGGGGATGGGGGACCACTGTTGGGGACCCCTCTGCGTGCACCCCTGTAGTTGGGGAAGCAGGACAGGGGCCTGGGGAGACGGAAGGGCGCCAGGGGTTGAGAGAGGATGGTGGACGTTGTTGGACTTGAAAGGGAAACAGGCCCTCGGGGAAGCCCCTGGCCAGGCCTGCCTCTCCCCTCCCTGGTGGGCCCAGCGCCCCTGCTCACTTGTCTCTGCCCACAGTGCCTGTCTGTGGAGGACGCCCTGGGCCTGGGCGAGCCTGAGGGGTCAGGGCTGCCCCCGGGCCCGGTCCTGGAGGCCAGGTACGTCGCCCGCCTCAGTGCCGCCGCCGTCCTGTACCTCAGCAACCCCGAGGGCACCTGTGAGGACGCTCGGGCTGGCCTCTGGGCCTCTCATGCAGACCACCTCCTGGCCCTGCTCGAGAGCCCCAAGGCCCTGACCCCGGGCCTGAGCTGGCTGCTGCAGAGGATGCAGGCCCGGGCTGCCGGCCAGACCCCCAAGACGGTGAGGGAGAGTCCAGGCAGACCAGGGGAGTGGGTGAGGAGGGTCCCACGGCCCATGGGACCCGGCCTGGCTGCAAAGCCTTCGGGGAGCCTGGGGGCCTGGGGAGACGCCCAGGAGTCGGCCTGCGGCTGGGGATTCACAACGTGGGGCTCACTACTGGGCAGTTGGGAGCCTGTAGGAGCCCCGGGAGGGACCTCATGAGGGAGGAACCCAGAGGCCTGAGTGGGAGCCTGAAGCAGCTGGGCCCGGCAGGGAGGGCTGTGGCTCCAGGGAGGGGCGGGGCTGGTGGGGGCAGATCCTGTAGTTGGGGTGGGAGATGCATCCAGGGGCAGCGGGGTGGATGGCAGAAGGTCACACCAAAGGCTGAGGCGGAGGCCCCCTCTTCCCCAGGCCTGCGTAGATATCCCTCAGCTGCTGGAGGAGGCGGTGGGGGCGGGGGCTCCGGGCAGTGCTGGCGGCGTCCTGGCTGCCCTGCTGGACCATGTCAGGAGCGGGTCTTGCTTCCACGCCTTGCCGAGCCCTCAGTACTTCGTGGACTTTGTGTTCCAGCAGCACAGCAGCGAGGTCCCTATGACGCTGGCCGGTGAGGCCTGGGCTGGGCTGTGGAGGGGGGCACCCCCGAGTCCCCAGCCTCCACGTCCCTGGGGGGCAGGGCCGGAGCCCACACAGACTCGCGGTGCCAACTCTTCTCCCTGCCAGAGCTGTCAGCCTTGATGCAGCGCCTGGGGGTGGGCAGGGAGGCCCACAGTGACCACAGTCATCGGCACAGGGGAGCCAGCAGCTGGGACCCTGTGCCCCTCATCAGCTCCAGCAACAGCTCCAGTGTGTGGGACACGGTGAGCTGCGCCCTGGGGTAAGATGGGGCCTCACCGGGGTCTGCTTGGGCCCCTGAGCCTGTCCTGCCACCCCCCAGGTATGCCTGAGTGCCAGGGACGTGATGGCTGCATATGGACTGTCGGAACAGGCTGGGGTGACCCCGGAGGCCTGGGCCCAACTGAGCCCTGCCCTGCTCCAACAGCAGCTGAGTGGAGCCTGCACCTCCCAGTCCAGGCCCCCCGTCCAGGACCAGCTCAGCCAGTCAGAGAGTGAGTGCCCACGCCGACATTGTGCTGGCAGCACAGAGGTGGAGCCCGTGTAGGAAGGAAGGAGTGGCTGCCCAGGATGAGGGATGGAGAGAGTGAGCAGGGGCTGGAAGTAGAAACAACAGACACAGGGGAAGGTGGCGTCGCCAGGAGAGTGGGGCTTTGAGGCAGGAGGGTCAGCCTGAGTGAGGGCCTGGCCCACACTGACGGCCTGCAGCTCTGGTGAGCAGCGCCCGGGAAGCAGGGGCTGAGTCTGGAAGAAAAGCTCTCACAGCCGCCTCACCCGCCCCCAGGGTATCTGTACGGCTCCCTGGCCACGCTGCTCATCTGCCTCTGCGCGGTCTTTGGCCTCCTGCTGCTGACCTGCACTGGCTGCAGGGGGGTCACCCACTACATCCTGCAGACCTTCCTGAGCCTGGCAGTGGGTGCACTCACTGGGGACGCTGTCCTGCATCTGACGCCCAAGGTCTGCCCCCACAAACCCGCGACCCTGGCCCTCCGTTCCCCACCATGGACTCCCAGGCCATGCCCTCCCAGGGACCTTACCCACCCCACCTCCTGACCCCTCTCCCTGGGTCTTGGTGGGAGGCACCCTGGGACCTCCCCCCCAGCCCAGCGCCCCTACTCCCCAGGTGCTGGGGCTGCATACACACAGCGAAGAGGGCCTCAGCCCACAGCCCACCTGGCGCCTCCTGGCTATGCTGGCCGGGCTCTACGCCTTCTTCCTGTTTGAGAACCTCTTCAATCTCCTGCTGCCCAGGGACCCGGAGGTCAGGCTTCTTGGGAAGGTACCCGGCGGGTGGGTGTGCTGGGGGCCTGGTGGACACTGAGCACCTACCCTCACAGGACCTGGAGGACGGGCCCTGCGGCCACAGCAGCCATAGCCACGGGGGCCACAGCCACGGTGTGTCCCTGCAGCTGGCACCCAGCGAGCTCCGGCAGCCCAAGCCCCCCCACGAGGGCTCCCGCGCAGACCTGGTGAGTGGGCGCCAGATGCCCCATCCCGCGCGGAGCCCCTCCCACCGACCCCTTCCCACGCCCACACTCCCAGCCCCACCCCAGGCCTGCGGCTCCGCCTCCCGCGGTGATCTGGGGCCCCGCCCCGCCCCACCGCGTTCCTCCTCCACTTCCGGGCGGGACTTACTCAAGGCTCCTCCCAGGTGGCGGAGGAGAGCCCGGAGCTGCTGAACCCTGAGCCCAGGAGACTGAGCCCAGGTGAGCCCAGGGGGCGACCCCGGAAGGGCTGGGGGATCTGGGGTTTGTGTGGAGCGCGGGTGGGGCCCAAGGCTTGGCGGTAGGCGACAGGCCACGCGAACCCACGGGCCTCTGCGCCCGCAGAGTTGAGGCTACTGCCCTATATGATCACTCTGGGCGACGCCGTGCACAACTTCGCCGACGGGCTGGCCGTGGGCGCCGCCTTCGCGTCCTCCTGGAAGACCGGGCTGGCCACCTCGCTGGCCGTGTTCTGCCACGAGTTGCCACACGAGCTGGGTGAGCGCAGGCGGGGCCTGGAAGGAGATGGGCGGGGCCGCACGGGGCTGGGCGGGGAGACCTGGAACAGGTGGGCGGGGCCTGGAAGATGGGCGGGGCCGCACCTGGCTGGGTGGGGAGACCGGAAACAGGTGGGGCGGGGCCTGGAAGGTGATGGGCGGGATCTGACGGCTGGGCGGGGAGACCGGGAACAGGTGGGCGGGGCCTGGTGGTAAGAGGGCGGGACCGAAAGGAGGTGGGCGGGGCATGTAGCTAGGAGGGCGGAGCTGTTAATGTGGACTCGCCCGCAGGGGACTTCGCCGCCTTGCTGCACGCGGGGCTGTCCGTGCGCCAAGCACTGCTGCTGAACCTGGCCTCCGCGCTCACGGCCTTCGCTGGTCTCTACGTGGCACTCGCGGTTGGAGTCAGCGAGGAGAGCGAGGCCTGGATCCTGGCAGTGGCCACCGGCCTGTTCCTCTACGTAGCACTCTGCGACATGGTCAGGATGGCGAGGGGAGGGGCTGCTCTGGGCCGGGAGCTGAGCAGAGGAGCTGAGCAGGGGCGCTGACCCGGTGCCCACTTGCTCCTCAGCTCCCGGCGATGTTGAAAGTACGGGACCCGCGGCCCTGGCTCCTCTTCCTGCTGCACAACGTGGGCCTGCTGGGCGGCTGGACCGTCCTGCTGCTGCTGTCCCTGTACGAGGATGACATCACCTTCTGATACCCTGCCCTAGTCCCCCACCTTTGACTTAAGATCCCACACCTCACAAACCTACAGCCCAGAAACCAGAAGCCCCTATAGAGGCCCCAGTCCCAACTCCAGTAAAGACACTCTTGTCCTTGGAGCATGGCTGTGCTCTCCTTGCTGGGTGGGAAGGGCCCTCAGCTGAGAAAGGACAATTGCGGCACTGCCTTCTCCCCATCGGGGTGCCTCGAAGCCAGGAGAGCTGCACTCAGGACCCCCAGGCAGCCAGCCTCAGGTGCCCCCTCTTTGATATGGAGACCCTGCCTGCCTGAGGAGTGGGGTCAGGGAAATTCACCCGGGTGTGTGGGCAGCAGGTGGGACCTGTCCCCAAACAGGAATCAAACTTGCTTACCTATAACTGCTTACACAGCCGAGGGCTTATTTCTCTGTCATGGAAAGCAAACCTGGAGATCGTCAGACCAGAGTGTGTGGCAGCCCACGGTTCCTGGGACGCCAGCCTCTTCTGACTCTGAGGCGTTAATCCTGAGTGCCTGTGTGGTGGCCTCCTAGGGCTACCTTAACAAAGCCTACCATAAACTGAGTGCCTTAAAACCAGAAACTTATTCTCACAGTTCTGGAGGCTGAAAGTTAGGAATCAAAGTGTCAGGAGAGCAATGCTCTCTCTGAAGTCTCTAGGAAACAGTCTGTTCCATGAGCCTTTCCTGGCTACTGGTGGCCCCAGGTGTTCCTTGGTTTGTGGGCAGTATGACTCCAATCCCTGCCTTTGTCTTCACATGACCTTCCCTCCCATCCCCTCCCCTTTTCTTTTCTTTCTTCTTTTGAGACAGAGCTTCACTCTGTCGCCCCGGCTGGAGTACAGTGGCACCATCTCGGCTCACTGCAACCTCTGCCTCCCAGGTTCAAGCAATTCTGCATCAGCCTCCCGAGTAGCTGGGATTACAGGCACCCGCCACCACGCCCAGTTAATTTTTATATTTTTAGTAGGACGGGGTTTCACCATGTTGGCCAGGCTGGTCTCGATCTCCTGACCTCAGGTAATCCACCCACCTCGATCTCCCAAAGTGCTAGGATTACAGGTGTGAGCCATTGCGCCTGGCCCACATGACCTTCTTTCTTGTGTTTCTGTCTCTTCTGATTATTTTTATTGTATGTGACTCTTGTCACTCAGGCTGGAGTGCAATGACGCCATCTTGGCTCACTGCAACCTCTGCCTCCTGGGTTCAAGTGATTCTCCTGCCTCAGTCTCCTGAGTAGCTGGGATTACAGGCATGCGCCACCACCCTGGCTAATTTTTGAAGGGAGCCAGCCCCTCCACACGTGTGAGTATTTCTCATCAGGTGGGACGAGAGACTGAGAAAAGAAGACACACAGACGAAGTATAGGGAAAGAACAGTGGGCCCAGAGGACCCAGCATACGGAGGACCTGCATCAGCACCGGCCTCTGAGTTCCCACAGTATTGATCATTATTTTTACCATCTTAGCGAGGGGAGTGTAGCAGGGCAACAAGTGGGGAGAAGGTCAGCGCGGAAACATGTGAGCAAAGGAATCTGTATCATGAATAAGTTCAAGGAAAGGTACTGTGCCCGGATGTGCACGTAGGCTAAATTTATGTTTCTCTTTACCCAAACATGTCATTGTAGCAAAGAGTAACAGAGCAGCAGCGCTAGATTTATGTTTCTCTTTACCCAAACATCTCAGTGTAGGAAAGAGTAACAGAGCAGTATTGCTGCCAGCATTCTTGCTTCCAGGCAGTTTTCTCCTATCTCAGAATAGAACAAAAGGGAATGGTTGGCTTTACAATGAGACATTCCATTCCCAAAGACGAGCAGGAGACAGAAGGCTTCCTCTTATCTCAACTGCAAAGAGGCCTCCCTCTTTACGACTCCTCAGCACAGACCCTTTATAGGTGTTGGGCTGGGGGACGGTAAGGTCTTTCCTTTCCCATGAGGCCATATCTCAGGCTGTCTCAGTGGGGGGAAACCTTGGACAATTCCCAGGCTTTCTTGGGCAGAGGTCCCTGCGGCTTCCCGCAGTGCATTGTGTCCCTGGTTAATCGAGAATGAAGAATGGCGATAACTTTTACCAAGCATACTGCCTACAAACATATTAACAAGGCACATCCTGCATAGCCCTAAATCCATTAAACTTTGATTCATTACAGCACATGTTTCTGTGAGCACAGGGTTGGGGCTAAAGTTACAGGTTAACAGCATCTCAAAGCAAAAACAATTTTTCTTAGTACAGATCAAAATGGAGTTTCTTATGTCTTCCTTTTCTACATAGACACAGTAACAATCTGATCTCTCTCTCTTTCCCCCACAGTTTTTGTATTTTTAGTAGAGACTGGGTTTCACCATGTTGGCCAGGCTGGTCTCGAACTCCTGACCTCAGGTGATCCGCCCACCTCGGCCTTCCAAAGTGGGATTACAGGCGTGAGCCACCGCCTCCTATTGACTTTTAAAAGGCGGTTGAGTGTGGCTCAGGGGTCACACGCCTGAGCATCCAAGTGGCCCTTCCCCCACTGCCCAATGAGCAAGTAGATTTGGATGCAACAAAAACACATATTTCCACGCCATTTTCTTGGGCGTAACGATACTTTCTTGTTTTATTTCTCATGATTCCGTTTCTAGGTCCTAGGCCCGTGCCTGATCCAGGATCCAAGCTCCCGGAAGCTGGCACTGGGCCCGCCCTGGGTAGGCAGCAGTGAGCAAGGCGGGCGGACAGCGCTGGGCTCGCGGGGTCCTGCGTCCTCCGCGGGAGTGTTGGCGGCGGGGGTCGCTCTGCGCGGGGACACTGGGCAGAGGGGGCGTGCGGCCTCTCTAGGAAGCTTTCTCGGAGCCCCAGACACTGGCGAGGCGCCGCGCCCCCTCTTCTGGATTCCGGCGCGCCCCCTGAACCCGGGAGCTACGAGCGGAGTCGCTTCTCCCTGCAGCCGTCCTGGGTCTGGCGCGGACGCACCCCCCGGCCGACCCCGAGCCGCTGCAGCCGGCGCCCCTGCGGCTTCCAACCCGCGCTGCTCCGCCCGCAGCGGAGGCCCCGCACTTCGCGCGCTAGGGGTTTGGGTTCCGGACGCCCAGCCCGGAGCCGAGCCGCCAGCCGCCCGCATCCCGGGCCACTAGGGCCCGCTGTCGCCCCTGCAGCCACGCTCACGCGGCGGCGCTGCGCAGGCGCAGAAGCCCGGAACCTTCCCGCCCAGCTTCTGGGCCCGGCCGGACTGAGTTCGCTGCTGTCCCGGTTCCTCTCGAGTCGGCTCCAACTGCCAGGTGGGCGGCCGGGCGGGCGGCCGAGGCGGCAGCGCGAGGCCGGGGAGGGGCGCGGTGCGGGGCCGGGCTCCTGCGTGGGCGACCCCGCTCACCCTTCCTCTCCCGGCCTTGCGCAGCCCGGGTTGGCGCCATGTACGCCGTGTACAAACAGGCGCATCCGCCCACCGGTCTGGAGTTCTCCATGTACTGCAACTTCTTCAACAACAGCGAGCGCAACCTGGTAGTGGCCGGGACCTCGCAGCTCTACGTGTACCGCCTCAACCGCGACGCCGAGGTAGGTCGGGCCCTGGGAGCCCTCCCGGCTGTCCGCGACGTGGGTGCTCTCACCGCCCCCGGTTGCAGATGGAAGAGCCAAGCCCCAGACAAGTTGAGTGATTTGCTTAACGTTCCTCAGCCTGAGGAGCCAGGACATGACCCTGAATCTCTTGTGCTCAGATCCTTTCTCACAGCTGCTACCCTGTTCTGCCTCCCTTCCTACCCCACCGGGAAGGGCGCGCTGCCCTAGCCGTCTTGTTTGCTCTTCCGTTTTTTCAGCAAGTTGTTCGGAAGGAGCGAACGCCCACTGTGCGCTGGGTAGCAGAGATACCATGTGAACCACACCTGCAGACACTTGGGGAAGGGGAACATCTAAATAAACACACCTGCCCCTGCAGCAAGTGCTGCTGCGGGAATAAAGGAGTGAAGGAAGGAGACTGTGTATTTCCAGTCGCATGATCAGAAGAGCCTGTCTGAGGCAGAGCGGGAGTTTGTCGGGGGAAGGACATTGGTAGCACAAGGAACAAGGCCAGGTCTAGGATGGGGACAGACTGTTGACAGGAGTCTTGGTACAGTGGGGCACACGCCTCAAGGGTTTGGGAAATACAGTGGTGTTTTGGTTGCCGGAGGGTTGAAAGCTGGTCCAGGAAAGCAACTTGCAAGAGGCAGTTTCTCCATTGCTCTTGAAGGGAGGAGTACCTCTTACCCAGGCCCAGGGATGGTGAGAGGAGGGTGTTCCAGGCAGAAGAAACAGCCTGTGCACAGGCCCAAAGCAGTTGAGGGTGGAGAGACATGCACAGTGTGGCCGTGGTATAGACTGGATGTGGTGGTGGGGATGGAGGGAGGTAGGCCGTGGTCAGGACTATTCTCCACAAAGCAGGGAGGAGCCACAAGAGGGTTGTGAATAGGGGCTGACCCAGCAGGCAGATGGGTCAGAAGCTCAGGCCAAAGGAGGCCAACCCTCCTGGGCACCTACCCCGGCATACATATGTATTTGCTGGCCAGGGCTCCTGTCCTCTGAAGGCTTGACGAGGGCTGGAGTTTCTGCTCCTAACACACTATTGGCAGGAGGCCGCAGTTCCTCACCACATGGGCCCCTCCCTGGGGCAGCTCACAACATGGCAGCCTCCCTCACAATGAGACACCCACCAAGACTGAAGCCACGGCGAGTCCTGTAACCGAATCTCAGGCTGGGTGCACTGGCTCACACCTATAGTCCCACACTTTGGGAGGCTGAAGTGGGATGACTGCTTGAGGCCAGGAGTTCAGGACTGGCCTGAGCAACATAGCAAGACCCCATCTCTACAAATAATTTTTTTTTTTGTTTTTCCTGGTGAGACGGAGTCTTGCTGTGTCACTCAGGCTGGAATGAAGTGGTGTGATCTCAGCTAACTTTAACCTCCGCCTCGTGGGTTCAGGCAATTCTTGTGCCTCAGCTCCCTAAACCCTCCACCAAGTAGCTGGGATTACAGGTGTGTGACACCACGCCCGGCTAATTTTTTTTTTGTATTTTTAATAGAGACAGGGTTTCGCCACATTGGCCAGGCTGGTCTCAAACTCCTGAGCTCAGGCAGTCCACTCACCTTGGCCTTCCAAAGTGCTGGGATTACAGGAGTGCACCACTGTGCTTGGCCCAAATATAAAATATAAAAGTTAGCTGGGCATAGTGGCCTGTGTGTAGTCCTAGCTACATGGGAGGCCAGGGTGGGAGGATCGCTCAAGCCCAGGAGGTCAAGGCTGCAGTGAGCTATAATTGCACCATTACACTCCAGCCTGGACAACAGAGTGAGACCCTATCTCAAAAAAAAAAAAAAAAGGCCAGGCACGTTGGCTCACACCTATCATCTTAGCGCTTTGGGAGGCCGAGGCAGGTAGTAGATCACCTGAGGTCATGGGTTCGAGACCAGTCTGGCCAACGTGGCAAAACCCTGTGTCTACTAAAAATACAAAAATTAGCTGGGTGTGGTGGCAGGCATCTGTAATCCCAGCTACTCAGGAGGCTGAGGCAGGAGAATTGCTTGAACCCGTAGGCGGAGGTTGCAGTGAGCCGAGATTGCACTCCACTCCAGCCTGGGTGACAGAGCAAAACTCCATCTAAAAAAAAAAAGTAGTAGTAATACACTGTTAACCTTCTGTCATATTCTGCTGGTCATATCTACCAACCCTGGTGGGGGTTGCGGAGGGTGCAACACCTCCCAGCATTCACTGCAGAGGACATTGTGCTGCCTTGGATGCTGGCCACCGTAGATTGGCTGAGGTGCTCATTCCACATCAGGTAGCAGTGCAGAGCAGGAAGCGTTGTGCTGCCTTGGACGCTGGCCACCGTAGGTTGGCCGAGGTGCTCATTCCACATCAGGCAGCAGTGCAGAGCAGGAGGGTGTGTGCAAGAGTCTAGAATTGAGGATTGAGGTCTGGTATGGAGGTCAAGTCAGAGTCTTCAGCCTGGGGTTGGTGTCTGCCCTTGGAAACTGGTTGAGATCACCCAGAATATAGACAAAGACAGGGTCTTGGGGCACCCCAACATTGAGAGATTGGGGAGATGAGAGGCCATGAAAGAGCTGGAGGTGGCATGGCCTGGAAGGCAGGGGGAAAGCTGGACAGGGCCCTGGAGGCCCAGGGAAGGCAGCTGGGAGGGACTCGACACTGGGTCCCACGCTGTTGAGCCTCAGGTGATGCCTGGTGACTGACAGGGCAGTCTGGTGGGCACGAGGGGTTGTGGTCTGAATGGAGCAGGGGTAAGAGCCCAGCAGGGGAGGAGAGTCAGTAACAGTGAACACAGACAACTCTGGAGGAGATGTGCGTAAACTGAAGCAAGAAATGGAGCCATAAATAGCAGGAAAAGAGGTTTTCTTCTTCTGTTTTGTTTTTTGTTTTTAAGAAACGGGGTCTTGCTATGTTGTCCAGGCTGGCCTCGAACTCCTGTGCTCAAGCCATCCTCCTGGGGTCAGTCTAGTCGTGGCTCTGTAACTAACTGCCCTGGAATATGCAAACGAGGTCTTTTATCATAATCGCAGACCTGGAAGCCAGGTTTTCAGGGATTCATCAGAGTGTGGGGAGCCCTTGGCTCTCCTCCACCAGGGCAAGCCTTGACAGGGATGACTTGAAGAGCTGGGGACAGGCTAGATGTGTCTTCCCCTACCCCCACACCGTCCCTCCACTCTCCCCTGTCCCCAGCATGGCTAGCTTGGTTTTCCTGGCAGCATGGTGGTGTTGGTGTAGTTGAGCTTCTTGCAGGAACTCAGAGCCCTAGGAGGCTAAGGCAGAAGCTGCCAGTCACTTTAAGGGCTAGACCAGGAGGGCACCGTCCCTGCCACCACAGTCTGCCCTAAAGGCAGCCTCCAGCCCAGATTCACCTGGAGAGGGAGGGAGACAGCCACCTTTCATACAGCTGTCTTTTTTTTTTCTTTTTTGAGAGAGAGTCTCCCTCTGTCACCCAGGATAGAGTGCAACAGTGCGATCTCAGCTCACTGCAACCTCTGCCTCCCGGGTTCAAGCAGTTCTCCTGCCTCAACCTCCCGAGTAGCTGGGATTACAGGCGCCTGCCACCACACCCAGCTAATTTTTTGTATTTTTGGTAGAGATGGGGTTTCACCATGTTGGCCAGGCTGGTCTCGAACTCCTGACCTCAAGTGATCCACCCGCCTTGGCCTTCCAAAGTGCTGGGATTACAGGTGTGAGCCACGGAGCCCGGCCAAGACATTCCCAGGTGTTTAGATGAGACATTTGTATTTTTGACAGGAACACCACAGAAGAGGCAAACAGCAGCCCCATCAGCTTTCAGGAGGCGGCGGAGGCCTTTGCCTCATGACTGGATGCTGATGCTTTGATGCTTGGTTGGGTAGTGTTGGCCTGGATTCCCCCACTGTAAGGTTATTTCTTCCTTTTGTAACTAAAAGTATCTTGTAGGGACTTATTTTGAAACCCTGTAAACGTCCTCTTATTCAGATTTTCAAGGTTTTTTTTTCTTTCTTTCTTTCTCTTTTTTTTTTTAGACGGAGTCTCGCTCTATCACCCAGGCTGGAGTGCAGTGGCACAATCTCGGCTCACTGCAAGCTCCACCTCCTGGGTTCAAGCGATTCCCCTGCCTCAGCCTCCTGAGTAGCTGGGACTACAGGCGCCCGACTAATGTTTTTGTATTTTTAGTAGAGACGGGGTTTCACCGTGTTAGCCAGGATGGTCTCGATCGCCTGACCCCGTGATCCGCTTGCCTCAGCCTCCCAAAGTGCTGGGATTACAGGCGTGAGCCACCACGCCCAGCCTTTGGTCGCTATTTCTTTAGCTATTGATTCTGTCCCCTTTCCCCCAACATGCCAGTTAGACCATTTGACTATGTACACATTTTTCTTAAAATCCTTCTGAGTGGTGGCCGGGCGCAGTGGCTCACGCCTGTAATCCCAGCACTTTGGCAGGCCGAGGTGGGTGGATTGCCTGAGCTCAGGAGTTCAAGACCAGCCTGTCCAAGATGGTGAAACCCCGAGTCTACTAAAATACAAAAAAAAAAAAAATTAGGCGTGGTGGTGGGCGCTTGTAGTCCCAGCTACTCGGTAAGCTGAGGCAGGAGAATGGCTTGAACCTGGGAGGCAGAGCTTGCAGTAAGCCAAGATTGTGCCACTGCACTCTAGCCTGGCGACAGAGCAAGACTCCGTCTCAAAAAAAAAAAAAATTCTTCTGAGTGGTTACCCCTGTTTCTTGCATGTACACAGAAGTGCAGTTGATCTCTGTATATTGACCTTATACTTGGCAGAGTGGATCAGGCGTCCTTGGCTGGTCCTGACCAAGAGGGAAAACTTCTTTTTTTGTTTGTTTTTTTGAGACCAAGTCTCTCTCTTGTCCCCCAGGCTGGAGTGCAATGGCATGATCTTGGCTCACTGCAACCTCCGCCTCCCGGATTCAAGCGATTCTCCTGCCTTAGCCTCCTGAGTAGCTGGGACTACAGGCACCTGCCACCACACCCAGCTAATTTTTGTATTTTTAGTAGAGACGGGATTTCACTATGTCACCATGTTGGCTAGACTGGTCTCGAACTCCTTACCTCAGGTGATCCACCCACCTCGGCCTCCCAAAGTGCTGGGATTACAGGCGTGAGCCACTGTGCCCGGCCTCAAAAGGGAAAACTTGTAATGTTTCACTCCCAGCACCACATTGCTGTAGACTTTTTGTAGATACCCTTTATTTGATTAAGGAAGTTGGGCGCGGTGGCTCATGTCTATAATCCTTGCACTTTGGGAGGCCAAGGTGGGTGGATCACCTGAGGTCAGGGGTTCGAGACCATCCTGGCCAACATGGCAAAACCCTATCTATTAAAAATACAAAAATAGCCGGGCATGGTAGCACATGCCTGTAATCCCAGCTACTTGGGAGGCTGAGGCAGGAGAATTGCTTGAACCCAGGAGGCAGAGGTTGCAGGGAGCTGAGATCACACTACTGCCCTCCAGCCTGGGTGACAGAGTGAGACTCTGTCTCAAAATTTAAAAAAATAAATAAATTAGTCAGGTGTGGTGACTCACATGTGGTCCCAGCTACTCAGGAGGCTGAGGTGGGAGGATCACCTAAGCCCAGGAGGTCGAGGCTGCAGTGAAACATGATTGCTCCTCTGCACTCCAACCTGGGAGACAGTGAGGCCCTATGTCAAAAAACAAAGGCCTGGCGTGGTGGCTCATGCCTGTAATCCCAGCGCTTTGAGAGGCCGAGGTGAGTGTATCGCTTGAGGTCAGGGGTTGAAGACCAGCCTGGCCATGGCAAAACCCTGTCTGTACTAAAAATACAAAAATTAGCTGGACGTGGTGGTGGGCGCCTATAATCCCAGCTACTGAGGAGGCTGAGACAGGAGAATCGCTTGAACCTGGAAGGCAGAGGTTGCAGTGAGCCAAAATCACACCATTGCACTCCAGCCTGGGCAACAAAGTGAGACTCCATCTCAAAAAAAAAAAAAAAATTTTCCTCCTATTTTTGCTTTACTAGGAGTTTTTATCACGAATGCCTTTATCAGATGCTTTTTTTGTATCCACTAAAATGACATGATTTTTCTCCTTAATTTTGACAGCATGGTAAGTTTAGCGATGGCTGTTCTTGCGGAAATCTAGTTTTGCGTTCCTGGAATAACTCAACCCAGTTGTGTTACAATACCCCTGCTTGTCACTGGGCTCATCTGCAGGCGTTTTGAGGAGGTTGGTGTCACTTCCTGTCCCACCTGTCTGTGGGCTGTTGGGGTGGCCTGAGCCACCTGCGGTGCCGTCAGCCCCACATGAGTGGGTGTGTGTTTTTTTTTTAAGTGTGTCATTACTTCTGAAACCTTTGGTAGAATTTGCGGGTGAAGCCCTGGAGTTGCCCTTGTCGCTGTGAGATGGGTATTGGTTTGTGGATGCTTCTTCTGTATCTCTTAACCAGCTTCCAAGATGCCCTCCCCATAGCACAAGTCCATCGTGAAAAATGACCTTGAGGTGGCTCACGCCTGTAATCCCAGCACTTTGGGAGGCTAAGGTGGGCGGATCACCTGAGGTCAGGAGTTCGAGACCAGCCTGGCCAACATGGTGAAACCCTGTCTCTACTAAAAATACAAAAATTAGCCGGACATGGTGGCACGCACCTGTAATCCCAGCTACTTGGGAGGCTGAGGCAGAATCACTTGAACCCGGGAGGCAGAGGTTGCAGTGAGCCAAGATCACGCCACTGCACTTCAGCCTGGGTGACAGAGTGAGACTCCGTCTCAAAAACAAAAAACAAAAAACAAAAAAAAACAAAACAAAAACCACTTTTCCCTTGCCTTGAGGCAATGGCATATAAATCTGCTAGCTAGTTAAACTAGCTACCTAGTAGCAAAGAACACACAGCCTCTTATCATTCTGGGAGGGCAGTGAAAAGGGAGGAGATAGAGAGGCAGCCTGGGGGAGCCCGAGGCGTCAGGATAGCGCAGGGCTTCCTCTTCTCTAACAGGCACGCAGATCAGTAGCTACAGATACCCCTTGGCTCTGGCTTCCTGCCCTGTGACATTTGGACCCAGGGGCCGGGGCTGGGCTGCTGTAGGTGTGCAACCAGGCAGGTTTGGGGGTGTGCAGACACAGAGTGCACTCTAACCCTGAGTGCTTGCCGCACAGGGCCTGGCTGCTAGGGAGCCGTGAGGTAGGGGCTTCCTGGGGAGGGGCCTGTGCCAGGGCTGGGCCGTGGGCATGAGAGCGTGAATGGGGGTCGCTGTGGGGGGCTGTGCACAGCTGTCTCCAGAAGCCCTTCTCCCTGCTGCAGAGAGGGTTTGGGCAGAGCTCCCAGGAGGCAGGGGCCAGGCTTGGTGGTCTTTTCTCGTTCCCCGGATGAGGTGAGCTGCCAGATGTGGCCCCTCACTGCCCTGTCTTTCTCTCCCCTCCAGGCTCTGACCAAGAATGACAGGAGCACAGGTGAGTGTGGTGGGGCGGCCTGGGGCTGTGCGGGTGCCAGGCATGGCTGGGCCCTGACCCTGAGCCCTGGTGTCTCCCCTAGAGGGGAAGGCCCACCGGGAGAAGCTCGAGCTTGCTGCCTCCTTCTCCTTCTTTGGCAACGTCATGTCCATGGCCAGCGTGCAGCTGGCAGGAGCCAAGCGGGATGCCCTGCTCCTAAGCTTCAAGGATGCCAAGGTGAGTGGTAGGCTTGGTGGGGTAGGCCTGGCCAAGGCGTGGGAGTGGGTGCCAGGGCCTGGGTACAGCCGTTGGTTGCCGGGGGCGACACTGTCAGGACCGGCAGTCGGCAGCCACGGCTGTGCCCTCTGACCGCAGCTGTCTGTGGTGGAGTACGACCCGGGCACCCATGACCTGAAGACCCTGTCACTGCACTACTTTGAGGAGCCTGAGCTTCGGGTAGGGCCGCGCTCCCGCCCCCGCCCAGGCCCCGCCCAGCCACCCTCCCTCCCCCTGCAGCTGGGTTCTGTGGCCCCAAGTGTTTCCCTCGGGGTCTCCTATGCTGGGCCTGGCTGATGCCCCCTCTGCCCCCAGGACGGGTTTGTGCAGAATGTACACACGCCGCGAGTGCGGGTGGACCCCGACGGGCGCTGTGCAGCCATGCTTGTCTACGGCACGCGGCTGGTGGTCCTGCCCTTCCGCAGGGAGAGCCTGGCTGAGGAGCACGAGGGGCTCGTGGGTGAGGGGTGAGTGCCAGCTGAGGCAGGCTGTGGTGCTGGGGTGGGAGGCGCCAGAGCCCGAGCTCCCCTCCCCGCCTCCCCTCCTCTCCTGCTGAAGCCCCTGGCCCCCCAGGCAGAGGTCCAGCTTCCTGCCCAGCTACATCATCGACGTGCGGGCCCTAGACGAGAAGCTGCTCAACATCATCGACCTGCAGTTCCTGCATGGCTACTACGAGCCTACCCTCCTCATCCTGTTTGAGCCCAACCAGACCTGGCCTGGGTGAGCCCCCTAAGGAGGCCCCTCTGCACTGTGGGCCCCCTAGCTGCCTCTGCCTGGGGTGGGGCCCATGGGGTTTAGGGCGGGGCCTATGGGGTGTGGTGGGGCTTGCTCGGGAGGAGCTGGGCCTGGGTCTCTGCGGGGAGGCAAGGCCCTTGGCTGACCCACTGGCGTCCCCAGGCGCGTGGCCGTGCGGCAGGACACGTGCTCCATTGTGGCCATCTCACTGAACATCACGCAGAAGGTGCACCCCGTCATCTGGTCCCTCACCAGCCTGCCCTTTGACTGCACCCAGGCTCTGGCTGTGCCCAAGCCCATAGGTGTGTGTCCTGGGAGTGGATAGGGGAGTGTGTGGAGAGAGCACTGAGCCTGCCCACCAGCCTGTGTCCACCTCCAGGTGGGGTGGTGGTGTTTGCCGTCAACTCGCTGTTGTACCTGAACCAGAGCGTCCCCCCGTATGGCGTGGCTCTCAACAGCCTCACCACAGGAACCACGGCTTTCCCGCTTCGTGAGTGTGGGGTGGCTGGGGCGGGGGGGGCCCGGGGACGGCTTGGGCCTGCCTAGTCGGCCTGACCACCCACCCCACAGGCACCCAGGAGGGTGTGCGGATCACCCTGGACTGCGCCCAGGCCACCTTCATCTCCTACGACAAGATGGTCATCTCCCTCAAGGGCGGCGAGATGTGAGCCCCTCCCCCGCCCATGAACTCTGCCCACACCGCCCCCCACAAGTCCTGTAGGGTCCCCTGGCCCCCTTCACTCCCCCAGGGTCCCCATCCCCGACTCAGAATTCTCCCTGCCCCCAGCTACGTGCTGACCCTCATCACCGACGGCATGCGCAGTGTCCGAGCGTTCCACTTTGACAAGGCGGCCGCCAGCGTCCTCACCACCAGCGTGAGTTGGGACTAGGGGTTGGGTCTGGGTCCAGACCCGGCCCAGCCATCACACACCTGCCCTCCCTCAGATGGTCACCATGGAGCCCGGGTACCTGTTCCTGGGTTCTCGCCTGGGCAATTCCCTCCTCCTCAAGTACACGGAGAAGCTGCAGGAGCCCCCGGCCAGTGCTGTCCGTGAGGCTGCCGACAAGGTGGGTTTCCTGGGCCCATTGGGCCACCACCCTTCATGTGGGCACTGCTGTGGCATGCCACTCAGTGCCCCTCCTGCCTCACAGGAAGAGCCTCCCTCAAAGAAGAAGCGAGTGGATGCGACGGCCGGCTGGTCAGGTGAGGGCCGGTCCAGGGCTGGTCAGGAGCGGGGCCAGGTGACCCAGGGCTGCGCTCAAGTGGGCTCTCTGTGTGCAGCTGCGGGTAAGTCGGTGCCGCAGGATGAGGTGGACGAGATTGAAGTGTACGGCAGCGAGGCCCAGTCGGGAACACAGCTGGCCACCTACTCCTTTGAGGTGAGATTGAGGCAGCAGGGCCCCCGTCCCAGCCAGCGCCCCCAGCGGGCCCCTGACTCTTGCTGTGCCGCAGGTGTGTGACAGCATCCTGAACATTGGACCCTGTGCCAATGCCGCCGTGGGCGAGCCTGCCTTCCTCTCTGAAGAGGTGCCCAGGGTTGGGGTCGGGGCTGGGGGCAGGGGCTGGAGTGTGAGGGGGGGTGGGGGGCATAGTCCTCACCCCCGAGTCCTGTGCAGTTTCAGAACAGCCCCGAGCCGGACCTGGAGATTGTGGTTTGCTCCGGCCACGGGAAGAACGGGGCTTTGTCGGTGCTGCAGGTGTGTGGGCAGGTAGGGGGCGGGCGCCTCCTGGTGGGACCTGGGTGGGCTCACACCCCCATCACACCCCCACCCCATCATCATTCTAGAAGAGCATCCGGCCCCAGGTGGTGACAACCTTTGAGCTTCCCGGCTGCTATGACATGTGGACAGTCATCGCCCCGGTGCGTAAGGAGGAGGTAGGTGCGAGCCTGCTGCAGGGAGGCCCTGGGATGGGACCGGCGCTGCCTTCTCATAGGCCGGGGGTGCCCAGGTCGCACCTGCGTGCCTGCCTTCACTGGACTGTGGCTTCCAGCCTGCCCCCCTTTGGCCCTGACAGGAGGACAATCCCAAGGGGGAGGGCACAGAGCAGGAACCCAGCACCACCCCTGAAGCAGACGACGACGGCCGCAGACACGGATTCCTGATTCTGAGCCGGGAAGACTCCACCATGGTGAGGGGCAGGGCCTGGGACCTGGGACCTGGGGCTGGGGTCCCCTGCGGGGGGCGCCTCCCTCACAGCTGTCGCCCGCAGATCCTGCAGACGGGGCAGGAGATCATGGAGCTGGACACCAGTGGCTTCGCCACTCAGGGCCCCACGGTCTTTGCTGGGAACATCGGGGACAACCGCTACATTGTCCAAGTGTCACCACTGGGCATCCGCCTGCTGGAAGGAGGTAGGTGGGGGGGGTGGTTGGGCCCTGGGCATCTGCCTGCTGGAAGGAGGTAGGTGGGTGGGGACGGTGGGGGGGAGGTGGTTGGGCCCTGGGCATCCGCCTGCTGGAAGGAGGTAGGTGGGTGGGGACGGTGGTGGGGAGGCGCATGCTGACTGCCCCATGCCTACAGTGAATCAGCTGCACTTCATCCCCGTGGACCTGGGCGCCCCCATCGTGCAGTGCGCCGTGGCCGACCCCTATGTGGTCATCATGAGTGCCGAGGGCCACGTCACCATGTTCCTGCTGAAGAGTGACTCCTACGGTGGCCGCCACCACCGCCTGGCGCTGCACAAGCCCCCGCTGCACCATGTAGGCCCCCTCATTCCCGGCGCCCTCCTGTCCCTGCCCCTTGCCCGCCGCTGAGCCCACCCCTCTCCCCGCAGCAGTCCAAGGTGATTACGCTGTGCCTGTACCGAGACCTCAGCGGCATGTTCACCACTGAGAGCCGCCTGGGTGGGGCCCGTGACGAGCTCGGGGGCCGCAGTGGCCCGGAGGCCGAGGGCCTGGGCTCAGAGACTAGGTGCGTGGGGGCTGGGGGCGCAGGTAGGGGCTTGGGTCCCTGGGGCTGGCAGGCCGCCCATGACCTTCTGCTGGCCCCCAGCCCCACAGTGGATGACGAGGAGGAGATGCTGTATGGGGATTCGGGCTCCCTCTTCAGCCCCAGCAAGGAGGAGGCCCGAAGAAGCAGCCAGCCCCCTGCTGACCGGGACCCTGCACCCTTCCGGGCAGAGCCTACCCACTGGTGCCTGCTGGTGCGGGAGAATGGCACCATGGAGGTAGGTGGTGCCCTGCACTGTGGCCCAGCGGGTTCCACCCACCTGCCTCCACTGACTGCTGCCCACCCTGCAGATCTACCAGCTTCCCGACTGGCGGCTGGTGTTCCTGGTGAAGAACTTCCCTGTGGGGCAGCGGGTCCTTGTGGACAGCTCCTTTGGACAGCCCACTACACAGGGCGAGGCCCGCAGGGAGGAGGCCACGCGCCAGGGGGAGCTGCCCCTCGTCAAGGAGGTGCTGCTGGTGGCGCTGGGCAGCCGCCAGAGCAGGCCCTACCTGCTGGTGAGTGCGCCTGGCCTGGCCTCCCCTTCCCATCTTCCCCCTGGCCCTGCCCGTTCCCCCACAGCCCCGCCCCTTCCCGTGGCTCCACCCCATCTCCCCCACGGCCCCGCCCCTTCCCGTGGCTCCACCCCATCTCCCTCACAGCCCCGCCCCTTCCCATACATGGCTCCACCCCATCTCAGCCCCGCCCCTTACCCACAGCCCACCTCTTCCCATGGCCCATCCCATGTTCTCCATGGCCCTGCCCGTTCCCCCATGGCTCCCCTCATCCTGCCAGGTGCATGTGGACCAAGAGCTGCTTATCTACGAGGCCTTCCCCCACGACTCTCAGCTCGGCCAGGGCAATCTCAAAGTCCGCTTTAAGAAGGTGCCAGTGGCTGGACTGCTGGGGCGTGGGGTGGGTGTGGTACAAGGTGTGGGTTTCAGACCGGCAGCCCCTGGAGGACCTGCATGGTTCCCCCCCAGGTCCCTCACAACATCAACTTCCGTGAGAAGAAGCCAAAGCCATCCAAGAAGAAAGCAGAAGGTGGCGGCGCAGAGGAGGGGGCTGGGGCCCGGGGCCGCGTGGCGCGTTTCCGCTACTTCGAGGATATTTATGGCTACTCAGGGGTAGGCCAGCGCCTTTGCAGGGGTCTGTGGTAGAAGGGAGACGCGGCCTCATCCGCAGCATCCTCATCCACAGCATCCTCACGGTGCCTGCCCCCAGGTCTTCATCTGCGGCCCCTCCCCTCACTGGCTCTTGGTGACCGGCCGAGGGGCTCTGCGGCTACACCCCATGGCCATCGACGGCCCGGTCGACTCTTTCGCTCCATTCCACAATGTCAACTGTCCCCGCGGCTTCCTGTACTTCAACAGACAGGTGGGGCCCGGCCGGTTCCCAGCAGCACTGGCTGATGCTGCCCCAGCTGGGGGCTGAGGGGGAGGGGACAGGAGAAGGGACCATTGGCTCCACCCTGAGGACCAGGAAGGAGTGTCCAGAGGGCGATGGGGTTGAGGTCGAGGAGGTGGAACCTGTGACTTGGTTGCTCCAAAGGTCTGGAAAGGGGTGGTTGGGAGCTGGGGCTGCAGCCCCTGGGGTCCCCACCACTGCTCTGCCGGCTCGCCGGGCAAGCCCTCGCAGGGCCTGGCCTCCACACTTCTCAGGAGAGCTGACGTGAGTGCTAGCTCTGCCCCTTGGCTGCTCTGTGACTTTGGGAGGGCACACAGGCTTTCTCATCCTGGTTCCCTATTTAAGCCACCACACCACCAGGTCACTTGAGACCCTGCCTGGGATGCGGTGAGTGCTTCCTGGGTGCCTGAGGACTCAGGACTGTCCATGAAAGAGGGCAGCCCTGGCTCCCTCTGCCTGGTTTTCAGTCCCCAGCATGGCAGTCTGTGGGCTGCCCTTTGCAGCCTCCAGTGCCCTCCTGGCCTAGCTTTCCCATCCCCTGTGGCCAGCACCCCTAGCCCCAGCTGAGCGTGGGAAAATGGACAGGAGGAGCCCCAGAGGCTGAGTGGCAGCCCCTTCCAGGACCTCGCCAGGACACAGCTGCCCCTCACCCACCCCTGCTCCCACAGAGCTGAGGGCAACATCCCAGGGCTCTTGGCGGCCTGGGCCTGCCTGCCCCTGCCCTTGGCTAGCCCTGGATCCCCTGACCCCTGTGCCCCCACCCCAGGGCGAGCTGAGGATCAGTGTCCTGCCTGCCTACCTGTCCTATGATGCCCCATGGCCTGTCAGGAAGATCCCGCTGCGCTGCACGGCCCACTATGTGGCTTACCACGTGGAGTCTAAGGTCTGCCCCCACCCCCACCCCACCAGGGACCTTCTGGGCCTGGCCGGGCCACTGGTGTGTGACCCTCACTAACCCACAGGTGTATGCTGTGGCCACCAGCACCAACACGCCGTGTGCCCGCATCCCACGCATGACTGGCGAGGAGAAGGAGTTTGAGACCATCGAGAGAGGTGGTGACGCCCACACCATACTCCCATCCTCAGCCGCATCTTGGGGAAGCCCTACTCTGACTGTCACCCTTGGTCCCCACAGATGAGCGGTACATCCACCCCCAGCAGGAGGCCTTCTCCATCCAGCTCATCTCCCCGGTCAGCTGGGAGGCTATTCCCAATGCCAGGTGAGGCTGGGCCGGCGGGGGTGGGGTCTGCCCAAGGCCTCCAGGCAGCATCCTGAGGCCCCTGGCCCCCACAGGATCGAGCTGCAGGAGTGGGAGCATGTGACCTGCATGAAGACAGTGTCTCTGCGCAGTGAGGAGACCGTGTCGGGCCTCAAAGGCTACGTGGCCGCCGGGACCTGCCTCATGCAGGGGGAGGAGGTCACGTGCCGAGGGCGGGTAAGGGGCCAGTGAGCGGGGGCGGGAACTGGCAGCCCCTCTGCCATCCCCACAGCCATCCCACAGCCATACCCATGCCCTCCAGATCTTGATCATGGATGTGATTGAGGTGGTGCCCGAGCCTGGCCAGCCCTTGACCAAGAACAAGTTCAAAGTCCTTTACGAGAAGGAGCAGAAGGGGCCCGTGACCGCCCTGTGCCACTGCAATGGCCACCTGGTGTCGGCCATCGGCCAGAAGGTGTGCCAGTCCCACCCGGCGTGTGTCCCCCGGCTCACCCTCACCCGGCTCCCCGTCCGCGCCCGCTCACCCTCGCCCTCGCCCCCAGATTTTCCTGTGGAGCCTGCGGGCCAGCGAGCTGACGGGCATGGCCTTCATCGACACGCAGCTCTACATACACCAGATGATCAGCGTCAAGAACTTCATCCTGGCAGCCGACGTCATGAAGAGCATTTCGCTGCTGCGCTACCAGGAGGAAAGCAAGACGCTGAGCCTGGTGTCGCGGGTACACCTGTGGCGGCGGTGCTCGTGTCTGGGTGGGTACCCGCCCAAGGCACCTCTGACGCCCCCTTCCCGCCCCCAGGATGCCAAGCCCCTGGAGGTGTACAGCGTGGACTTCATGGTGGACAATGCCCAGCTGGGTTTTCTGGGTATGTGGGCAGGGCCCTGGGGAGCTGAGGCTCTGGGGGTGGCCGGGGCTGACCCTGGGCCTCTGCTCCCCAGTGTCTGACCGCGACCGCAACCTCATGGTGTACATGTACCTGCCCGAAGGTGAGTGCTTCCTCCACCCCCTCTGCCTGGGCCGGGGCTGGGCTAGCAGTGACCCCTAGGCCTTTCTGGTCTAGCCAAGGAGAGTTTCGGGGGCATGCGCCTGCTGCGTCGGGCAGACTTCCACGTGGGTGCCCACGTGAACACGTTCTGGAGGACCCCGTGCCGGGGGGCCACTGAAGGGCTCAGCAAAAAGTCGGTCGTGTGGGAGAATAAGCACATCACGTGGTTTGGTGAGTGTGGGGGAGCAGGTGTGTCTGGGTGGGGGGCCCTAGGGTTGGCCTGGCTCACACCAAAACCCTCACCCTACCCCTGCCAGCCACCCTGGACGGCGGCATCGGGCTGCTGCTGCCCATGCAGGAGAAGACCTACCGGCGGCTGCTGATGCTGCAGAACGCGCTGACCACCATGCTGCCACACCACGCCGGCCTCAACCCCCGCGCCTTCCGGTGAGCCCCGGCCCCGCCCCCGTGCAGCACCCCCTCCACCCCAGCCTGCCCTGACACCTGTGCCTGTACGCCCCAGGATGCTGCACGTGGACCGCCGCACCCTCCAGAATGCCGTGCGCAACGTGCTGGATGGGGAGCTGCTCAACCGCTACCTGTACCTGAGCACCATGGAGCGCAGCGAGCTAGCCAAGAAGATCGGCACCACACCAGACATAGTGAGTGCGCGCCCCGCCCCCCGCGCGCCCCGCCCCTCCGTGTGCATCCCCACCCACCCACCCACCCACCCTTCCATCCCCTGCAGATCCTGGACGACTTGCTGGAGACGGACCGCGTCACCGCCCACTTCTAGCCCCGTGGATGCCGTCACCACCAGCACACGGAACTACCTCCCACCCCCTTTTTGTACAAAACACAAGGAAAAACATTTTTTGCTTGAGAGGAGTGTGTGGTCATTACACGGCCTCCTGGCCCAGCTGCTGTCACAGCCCCCCAGTGCGAGTGCCCACGGGGCTCGGGGTGTCTACACCTCTAGCCCCGCCACCTCCGTCAGCCCAAGGTGAAAAGGGCCCCGCCGGCCCTGGGCGGCTGCACCCTAGGTCTCCAGGTACTGGTAGAGCTCCTCCGCTGGGGGCACGAGGCTCAGGTGGACCAGAGCACGAGCCAGGAGGGCGGTCAGCCGCATGGCCAAGGTCTCCAGCCTGCGTGGGTCAGGTCACAGGTCACAGGTGGGTGGGGAGCAGGCCCCCGCCACCCACCTGCCCCGCGGCCACTCACCTGAGCGCCACTTCAAACTTGAGCATCTCCCAGACGACCTTGGCGTGGCGCAGGAGGCTGGTGCCGTAGACACCCCGATACGTGGCGCCCGCCAGGCGGCTCCAGCCCCGGACAGCCCTGCACACACCCGCGTTAGCGCCGCGTCAGCCCCACACCAGCCCCACCACGGCCCGGGCGCCTCCTCGGGCCACCGACCTTTTAGCCATAAGGAAGTAGCGGTCCACGGGGGCGCCGAGGGCCACGTTGATAGCGCGCACGGTGTTGATGTTGCGCAGCACCAGCAGCATGGGCCGCGGCAGCTCCCTGAGCACCGCCATGACGGCCTCGAAGCGCTCGCGGGCCATGTCCACCATGTAGGCCGCCTCTTCGCGGCTCAGTAGGTGCGAGCCCCACAGCTGCCCCAGGCGCACGGGGCGCTGCATGAGCATCTCGGCGAACAGGAGGTAGTCTGGGGAGGGAGGGAGGGAGGGAGGGAGGGGGCTCTGAGTGGGTTCCGCGCCGCCCGACTCCCTTCTGTGGTGCCCCAGCCATCCCCGCACGCCCTCACCTTGCACCCCCAGTGCGGCTGCGTGCGCCCTCATGGCGGCGTCGTCCCGCAGGATGATGGCCCGCCACAGCTGGCAGAGGGCTGCGCGGTCCCTGGGTGTGGATGGGCCCGCAGCCATGAGCTCCCTGCGGCAGGAGAGGCTTGCCCTGCCCCACGCCCACCCACCCGCGCTCACTTCTCCTCCAGGAACTGGTAGAGCCCGTGGTCCAGCAGCACCAGCTCCGCTTTCCCGTCCGGGCCTTTCCGCACCAGAACTAGGGATACAGCCTCTTAGGTCGCGCTGCGCCCACCCTGAGACCCCCACCCCTGGGGTAAATTCCTACCGTTGCCAGGATGTGGGTCCGAGTGGATGAAGCCGGTGTAAAATATCTGCTCAGCAAAGGCCTTGATGAGCTTTTCTGCTATCTGGGGAGAGGAGAGGCATTGCAGTGGACACAGCACCAGCCCGCCCTGACCCGCCCCCGCCCCCCCGCACTCACGTCATGCACTGCCAGCCCCTGGCTCCTGATGGCCTCCACATCGTTGACCTTGCAGCCGGCGCAGAAGTCGGCAGTGAGCACGCGCTGGGGAGAGCAAGAGGCTGGGCTCAGCAGGCCCAGCGCTGTGCCCACCCCAAGGGCCTGGCCCAGCCCACCTTGCTGGACTTGTCCCAGTGCACGCGGGGCACCACGACGTAGGGGAAGTGCGCCAGCTCCCGCGCACAGCGCTCTGCGTTGCGGCCCTCATTCTCGAAGTCCAGCTCCTGGGCCAGGGTCCCCTTCAGGTCCTGGGGGCCAGATGGCGGTTGAAGACCAGCTCTGCCTACCAGCTGCTCCTACCAGCTCTGCCTACGTGTTTGCTCCTGCTGGCCGGGGAAGGGGTGGGGCTGTACCTGGAGGACCCAGCTGAAGCCAAAGCTGGGGTGCATGACCTCAACGAGCCGCAGCAGGAGCTCCAGGGTGTGGATGTCCCCATCAAAGCGGTCCCGCAGGTCGATGTACTGCACCTGCACTGGGCGAGGGTGTGGTGAGAACTTGGGGCCCCACTGTGCCCCGCCCCAGCCCACTGCTGAACAAGGCAGCCCCCATATACCTTCACAGCCACGCTGGTGCCATCGTGCAGCTTGGCTCTGTGCACCTGTGCCAGGCTGGCGGCAGCAATTGGCTGGTAGTCAAACTCCTGGAAGAGCTCGTGGGGGAGGGCCTGGAAGTCCTCAAGGAACAACTCATCCACCTGGAAGGACAGGTGCTCAGAGCAGCCTGGGGCCACTGCTGGAGGCCCCACCTCCCTCGGCCTGAGCGCACACTCACCTCCTGGAAGCCCCGCTTGAGGGCCCTGTCCTCTAGCACGCGCAGGGTCCGGGTATACTCGGGGGGAAGCAGGTGGTTGAAGGAGCACAGCCCCTGGCCCAGCTTCACGTAGAGGCCCCCGTTGCTGATGGCCCCTGCCACCAGGGCATCAGCCGCCCGCTGGTGACACGCAGACATCACCTCCAAGTAGCCTGGGCTGTTCTGACCACAGGCATGGGGAGAACACATGGGGACAGGTGGCTGCCTCCTCAGTCCCACCCAGCCCACCACCTCATGCCCACCACTGTGTGCCCAGGGCACCAGGACAAACCTCTTCCACCCCTCGAAGGACAACATTGGTGCACCACCAGTAGTCCAGGGAGATCTGCAGGCCGACCTTCAGAGACCTGCGGGCAGAGGTGGCCTCAGTCTCCAGCGGGGCAGGCTCGGGGCCCCGGTGCTTGGTCCTCTTGTCAGAGCCCTCATGGTCTAGCCTCACCCCGGCCAGCCCTTCATGTCCCAAGGGTGAGGCCAAGCCAGGGTCCAGCCTACAGCCGCGTAGGCCTGTGTGAGCACAAGGGGTGCTGCTGAGCTCGTGGGGTGTCCTGTGGCCCTGCAGGTCAGTCTCAGCTCAAGATCAGTAGAACGGGGCCAGGTGTGGTGGCTCATGTCAATTATCCCATCACATTGGGAGGCTGTGCTGGGAGGATCACTTGAGCTCAGGAGTTCGAGACTGGCCTGGGCAACATGTTGAAACCCTGTCTCTACCAAAAATGCAAAAAAATTAGGCAGGCACGGTGGTGCACACCTGTGGTCCCAGCTCCTCAGGAAGCTGAGGCAGGAGGATCGTTTGAGCCTAGGAGGTGGAGACTGCAGTAAGCTGAGATTGCACCACTGCACCCCAGCCTGGGCAACAGAGCGAGACTCCGTCCAAAAAAGATCTGCAGAGCTGGGCACAGTGGCTCACGCCTGTAATCCCAGCACTTTGGGAGGCCGAGGTGAGTGGATCACCAGAGGTCAGGAGTTCAAGACCAGCCTGGCCAACATGGTGAAACCCCATTTCTACTTAAAATACAAAAAAATTAGCCGGGTGTGGTGGTGCACACCTGTAATCCCAGCTACTCGGGAGACTGAGGCAGGAGAATTGCTTGAACCCGAGAGGCAGAGGTTGCAGTGAGCCAAGATCGCGCCATTGCACTCCAGCCTGGGCAACAAGAGCGAAACTCGGTTTCAAAAAAAAAAAAAAGAGGCTGGGCTTGGTAGCTCACACCTATGATCCCAGCACTTTGGGAGGCCGAGGCGGGCAGATCACAAAGTCAAGAGATTGAGGCCATCCTGACCAACATGGTGAAACCTAGTCTCTACTAAAAATACAAAAATTAGCTGGGCATGGTGGTGCGTGCCTGTAGTGCCAGCTACTCAGGAGGCTGAGGCAGGAGAATCACTTGAAGTCAGGAGGCGGGTTTCGGTGAGCTAAAATTGCGCCACTGCACTCCAGCCTGGCGACAGAGCGAGACTCCGTCTCAAAAAACAAAAAAAGATCTGCAGAATGGGCAGCCTGTGTCCATGCCACCCTCACTCCCTGCCACCCTCAAGGGTGCCCAGGTGAGATGGGGTAGGGGACAGTATGGACGGTGGCATCCTCTGGAGAGATGGGGTTCCAAGGCTGTCTGTGAAGGTAAAGGATGGCAGCAAGGGGGCAGGGCTGAGGCAGCAGAGGTCACAGGAGGGTCAAGGTCACCTGCAGCCTGAGGTCCACTAGGAAGAGAGGAGGACACCAGGAGGGTGGGTCTCCAAGGCCTGGGGAGGCAAGGTCTGCAGGGAAGAGAGCCCAGTTAAGGCAGGAAGTGGGGGACATCCTGGGTATCTGTTGAGCAGGTACTGGGCTCCTGGGGGAGATTTAGGCAAGAGGATGGGGTAGAGGGGTGTCCCCAGGCCTGGCCCCAGTTAGGAGGATATCAGGGTGGGAGCCCTGGGAGAACTCTGGGGACCAGCTGGGCAGCCCTGGAATGAGGCGCCAGGCAGCGGGCAGACCACACACAGGTGCACAGGGAGGGGCTGAGGTCAGAGTGGCTTCTCCAAGGCTGGCCATGGCCAGAGGCCTGTCCCTGCGTTCTGTGAAGCTCACGTACCTGCCTGGGGACAGGGCCCACAGTCATTCCTGAAGCGCAGCTCTGGCGCTCAGGTGGACTCTGTGTCCCCCATCAACCCAGGGCGACCCCCCGGCCATTCAGGCCCCACTCTGGCCCCCGTAGAGCATCTGGAGTGCGTGCTTGGGTTAGGCCAGGGTTTCGGTTTCTTTTTTTTTTTTTTTGGAGACGGAGTCTCGCTCTGTCGCCCAGGCTGGAGTGTGGTGGCGATCTTGGCTCACTGCAGGCTCCGCCTCCCAGGTTCACGCCGTTCTCCTGCCTCAGCCTCCAGAGTAGCTGGGACTACAGGCGCCCAACACCACGCCCGGCTAATTTTTTTGTATTTTTAGTAGAGATGGGGTTTCACCGTGTTGGCCAGGATGGTCTCGATCTCCCGACCTCGTGATCCGCCCACCTTGGCCTCCCAAAGTGCTGGGATTACAGGCGTGAGCCACCGTGCCCGGCTCTAACTTTTCTACTATTAAAATTTGTTATAGTAAACACAACACTTTTGTAACAAAACTTAAAGATGTGAAAAAGTCCCACAGACTTGTGCTTGGGGGAGAAGGAATTTAATTTTTTTTTTTTTTTTGAGATGGAATCTCGCTCTGTCGCCCAGACTGGAGTGCAGTGGCACAGTCTAGGCTCACTGCAACCTCCGCCTCCCAGGTTCAAGCAATTCTCCCGCCTCAGCCTCCCGAGGAGCTGGGACTACAGGTGCCCACCACATGCCCAGCTAATTTTTCTATCTTTAGTAGAGATGGGGTTTCTCCACGTTGGTCAGGCTGGTCTCGAACTCCTGACCTCGTGATCCGCCCTCCTCGGCCTCCCAAAGCATTTTCACATTGCATTTCACATTGCCTCACAGAGCATTTTCAACATTGCTGTATGTTTGAAGTTTTTCACAAAATGTTGGAGGCCGGGTGTGGTGGCTCACACCTATAATCCCAGCACTTTGGGAGGCCAAGGCGGGCGGATCCCCTGAGGTCAGGAGTTCAAGACCAGTCTGACCAACACAGAGAAACCCGCCTCTACTAAAAAATACAAAATTAGCTGGGTGTGGTGGCGTGTGCCTGTAATCCCCAGCTACTAAGGAGGCTGAGGCAGGAGAATCGCTTGAATCCAGGAGGTGGAGGTTGCAGTGAGCGGAGATCCCACCATTGCACTCCAGCCTGGGCAACAAGAGTGAAACTCTGTCTCAAAAAAAAAAAAAAGTATCAATGAGTGCTAAACTGCTGGGTGGAGGCCAGGCGCAGTGGCTCATGCCTATAATCCCAGCACTTTGGGAGGCTGAGACAGATGGATCACTTAAGGTCAGGAATTCAAGACCAGCTTGGCCAACATGGAGAAACCCCATCTCTACTAAAAATTAAAAAAAAATTAGCTGGGTGTGGTGGCAGGTGTCTGTAATCCCAGCTACTGGGGAGACTGGGGCTGGGAGAATTGCTTGAACCCAGGAGGCAGAGGCTGAAGTGAGCCAAGATGTTGCCACTGTACTCCAGCCTGAGTGACAGAGCAAGACTGTCTCAATAAATAAATAAAGAAACAAACAAACTGCTGGGTGGAGGAGCAGTGAGAACAGACACATCATCTCAACTGCCTCCATACGGCTAATTACAAGGGAATCAAATGGGGGAAACCGAAATCATGTGCCCCCGGCAGGACAGAAGCAGTGTCACTCCTGTGTGATTCCTGCCAAAACAGATGACGAATATGACCACAAGCAAACATCAGACAAACCCACACTGACAAAATAAGAAGCAGTGAAATATTTCTGTAAAAGATGAGATGGTAATTATTTTAGGCACTCTGGCCACGCATGAGCACATGGGCAACTGTGCACCAAGTGGTCACAGGCAATGCATGGGCATGGCTGTGTTCCAATAAAGCTTTATTTGCAAATCAGACAGCTGCCACACTAGGCCCCTGCACTTGGCCCAGGGACCACAGTTTGCTGACTCTTGTTATACAATACTTACAAGCCTGTAATCTTCAAAGGTGTCCAATCATGTGCAATGAAGAATTAACTTTACCCAAACAGAGGACTGACCTTTGTCCCTTCTTAAGTCCTTGGGATTTCCTGAGTGATAAGGAGTGCCTCTGTTTTCCATGGTGGCCCTGAGGGCTTATGCTAAGAAGGGACTCAGGGCGAAGACCCACCACTTTGGGGCCCACGGGGATGGGAGCGGGAGGACCGGGGCTGGAAACTGAATTCCTGGGATTTTCTGAGAAACTGGAGATTTTCAATCAATCCCGCCCAAGTATTAATACCCCAACAAAAACTCCAGGCATGGCCTGCGTGGTGGCTCATGCCTGTAATCCCAGCACTTTGGGAGTCCGAGGCGGGCAGATCACTTGAGGTCAGCAGTTCAAGACCAGCCTGGCCAACATGATGAAACCCTATTGCTACTGAAAATACAAAAATTAGCCGGGCGTGATGGTGGGCACCTGTAATTCCAGCTACTCAGAAGGCTAAGACAGGAGAATCGCTTGAACCCGGGAGATGGAGGTTGCAGTGAGCCGAGATCCCACCATTGCACTCCAGCCTGGGCAGCAAGAGCGAAACTCCATCTCAAAAAATAAAAAAAAATAAGTTAAATAAAAAATTAAAAAATTTTAAAAAAAAAGTTAAATTTAGTTCAGGTATGATAGCTCACACCTGTAATCCCAGCCATTTGGGAGGCTGAGGCAAACGGATCACCTGAACTCAGGAGTTCAAGACCAGCCTGGGCATCATGGCAAAACCCCATCTCTACTAAAAATATAAAAAATTAGCCGGGCATGGTGGCGCGCACACCTGTAGTCCCAGCTACTCGGGAGGCCGAAGCATGAGAATTGCTTGAACCTGGGATATGGAGGTTGCAGTGAGCTGAGACGAAGCCACTGCACTCCAGCCTGGGCAACAGAGTGAGACTGTCTCCAAAAAATAAAAGAAAAAGGGGCGGTGGGGGAAAGCAAAACACATAGGTGATTTTTTTTTTTTTTGAGACAGAGAGTCGCTCTGTCACCCAGGCTAGAGTGCAGTGGCGTGATCTTGGCTCACTGCAAGCTCCGCCTCCCGGGTTCACGCCATTCTCCTGCCTCAGCCTCCCAAGTAGCTGGGACTACAGGCAACCGCCACCAAGCCCGGCTAATTTTTTGTATTTTTTAGTAGAGACGGGGTTTCACCATGTTAGCCAGGATGGTCTCGATCTCCTGACCTCGTGATCCACCCACCTCGGCCTCCCAAAGTTCTGGGATTACAGGCGTGAGCCACCATGCCCGGCCACATATAGGTGATTTTATTTTTTATTTTTATTTTTTGAGACGGGTCTGGCTCTGTCTTCCAGGCTGGAGTGCAATGGCGTGATCTTGGTTCACTGCAACCTCCGCCTCCCAGGTTCAAGTGATTCCCCTGCCTCAGCCTCTCAAAGTAGCTGGGATTACAGGCGTGAGCCACCGCGCCTGGTGGTGATTTAAGTTTAGGGCCAGGTGTGGTGGCTCACACCTGTAATCCCAGCACTTTGAGAGGCCGAGCTGAGCAGTTCACCTGAGGTCAAGAGTTGGAGACCAGCCTGTCCAACATGACGAAACCCTGTCTCTACTAAAAATACAAAAACTAGCCGGGCGTGGTGCCACACACCCGAAATCCCAGCTGCTTGGGAGGCGAGACAGGAGAGTCGCTTAAACCAAGGGAGCACAGGTTGCAGTGAGCTGAGATCGCACCACTGCACTCCACCCTGGGTGACAGAGCAAGACTCCGTCTCAAAAAAAAAAAAAAAAGAAAATGTAAGGAGTGGCAGAGATTAAAGACAGGGCTCTGAGGCAGAGAAACATTGTCCCAAACCTTCCACCTTCCTGGGCAGCCCCTGATCATTTGGGTACCTGTGGCCTGTTCTGACCTCTGCTGCCTTTTCTCATGGTGCACTGGCACCGCCATGCTCCTCACCCGCGCTCCTTCCTGGGCCCCTGCATGGGTGCTGCTGTCACCCAGGATGTGTTCCCAGGCTACCCTGTGCCCTGCCAGGGAAGCTCCACAGGCCTGCTTGTCTATGCAACCGTGACGGCTTAGAGCCAAGGAGAACGTGCAGACTGCTGGGAAAATTAACAACAGAGGTCCCTCCCTGCAACCCCAGCTCAGCCCCTGAGAGCGAGCTGTGAGAAGATGTTTTCCCACAAAGTGAGCCCAAAACGCAGGCTCACCAAGCCGGTGGCCGAGGAGGTGGACACCAGACACAGCTGCATGCCATGAAATAGAGGGTGAGACAAACCCAGGCCTGCCAAGCCGACATTTCAGAACCAGGCTGCAGGGGACGGTGGCTGGCAGCCCTGTGTGGCCCTTGCATGCACTGCAGCGGAGGGTCACGAGAAAAAGGCAGAGGACCCGAGGCTCTGTCGTCACCCACCCCAGGCTGCGAGACTGGATGGCCCTGCAAGACAGACAATGCCACCCAAAATCTGCAGGCAGGGACAGCAGGAACTCCAAGCAAAACCAGATGCCAGGGAGACCCACGTGGGGAACGACTGTTTTGTCTTTTAGGCTGAAAATCCTCAGGTGCCCAGCTATCCACAAGCTTCCACTCACTGCTGGAGGAAATTTCTGTGAAACTTCTGGTGAAATCTCTGAAGGCACCAGAAGCCGAGGCACTTGCTGAGAAACTGACCTAGGCCTGGCAGATGCTCGGAGGCAGGCAGAACAGGACCACACCCTCCCTGCCTCCTTCCTGCCCTGACGCTCCATTCAAAAGGGCTTTGGGGGCTGGGCACGGTGACTCACGCCTGTCATCCCAGCACTTTGGGAGGCCGAGGCGGGTGGATCACGAGGTCAGGAGATCGAGACCATCCTGGCTAACACAGTGAAACCCCGTTTCTACTAAAAATACTAAATAAATAAATAAATAAATAAATAATTTAGCCAGGCATGGTGGTGGGCACCTGTAGTCCCGGCTACTCAGGAGGCTGAGGCAGGAGAATGGCGTGAACCAGGGAGGCGGGGCTTGAGTGAGCCGAGATTGCGCCACTGCACTCCAGCCTGGGTGACAGAGCGAGACTCTGTCTCAAAAAAAAAAAAAAAAAAAAAAAAGGGCTTTGGGCTAACAGGTTTCTCTCAAAGCCAAGAGCTGGTTCCACCAGGCTCAGGCTAGCAGGGCTTTGTGGCTGCAGGAATTCCGGGATCTGACAAAAGCAGGAATGCCCACCCAAGGGTTCCAACAGAAGGTGTCCTCACCCTCCCCCTGAGTTCTTCACTGTAAGGTAATGGAGGAAGAAAGGGCCCTGACAGCAATAACCCGATTTTGCCCATCTCCAGGGCAAGGGACAGAGGCAGCCTCCTCTCCCAGGCCCAAACCTTGGAATGGGGCAAGAAGAGAAGGAAGGCAGGGCAGCTGCTTCTCTGCCAGCCTAGAAGCCTGAGGGAGAAGGCACGGGCCCAGGGCTGGAGCGCCTCCCCACTAAGGCCAAGGCTGAACTAGGGAAGGGCCTGTGGCGGCTGCATCCAATGTGGAGGACCCTTGTCTACACCACCTCCTATAGGCCCCGCCAGTGCTCACTGTCCCTTCAGCCAGCACCTTCCCATGTAGGAAAGGACGCCTGAAAAGCAGCTGTAAAATCCTCAGCAAGCTCTGCAGGCCTCCCAGGCTCACGCCCCTCGTCTGTGAAGGCATCTGGAGCAGGCAATCCTGCACCGCACACACCCCGCCCGCCACGCCGCAACCCCTGCCTGCCGCCAGGCCCTCCTACCTGCCAAAGCGCCCCATGCCATCCACCACGAGCCGCATCCTCCTCTTCTCCCGTGCCTCTGCCATGACATAGCGGGCTCCGAGGAGCAGGGGCGCCCCCACTACCGCGGTGGAGAGCACCTTCCTCCACAGGGGTGTGGGGCTGGAGAACCTGAGGAGAGACAATGCAGCCTGGAGGCGCCGCCCCCCACATTCAGCTGGGCTCTGATCTCTGCCCCCACCTCCCCCAGCACCACGTCTCACTCCTGTGTGCACAGCCATTCTGACGTGTGGTCAGCAGAGAACACCACCGCATCAGCGTCCCCTTCCCTGAGCCCCTGCACCAGATGCCCCTGCACCAAAGCCCGGCACCAGATGGCCATAAGGGGCAGGTCTCATTCAGGTCTGTCCAGAGACGCAGCCAATGGGCCATGGGACATGGAAATGGCTCCTCAGGTAAAGGAAGCAGCTCAATGGCAGGTCTGTGCTCCTCACGGACCGTGGTCTCCTACACTGTGGAGAATCACAACCACCGTCCACCTCGCAGGATTCAACTGGATGGTCATCAGCACAGCAGAGACAGAGAAGATGCTGCGGTCGGCACGTGCTGAGTCGCATGACAGTACAGAGCAAGAAACAGAGCTTGCCCCATATTGAATATAGTAGGATCACCATACACGCTGAATACAGCAGAAGCCCAATACTTGCTGAATACAGCAAGAGCCCAATACTTGCTGAATACAGCAGGAGCCCAATACTCCCTGAATACAGCAGGAGTCTAATACTCGCTGAATACAGCAGGAGTCCAATACTTGCCAAATACAGCAGGAGCCCAATACTCGCTGAATACAGCAGGAGCTCTACCTATGCTGAACACAGTAGCAGCTCCATATATGCTGAAACCAGCAGGAAACCCATAACGCTGAGTGCGGGAGGTGCCTGAGAACACATCTGTTTCTGCACCCGGCCCATAATCCTGAGTGCGGCAGGTGCCTGAGCACACATCTGTTTCTACACCCGGCCCATAATCCTTAGTGCAGCAGGTGCCTGAGCACACATCTGTTTCTACACCCGGCCCATAATCCTTAGTGCAGCAGGTGCCTGAGCACACATCTGTTTCTACACCCGGCCCATAATCCTTAGTGCAGCAGGTGCCTGAGCACACATCTGTTTCTACACCCGGCCCATAATCCTGAGTGCAGCAGGGGCCTGAGCACACATCTGTTTCTACACCCGGCCCATAATCCTGAGTGCAGCAGGGGCCTGAGCACACATCTGATTCTACACCCGGCCCATAATCCTGAGTGCGGCAGGTGCCTGAGCACACATCTGTTTCTACACCCGGCCCATAATCCTGAGTGCGGCAGGGGCCTGAGCACACATCTGTTTCTACACCCGGCCCATAATCCTGAGTGCAGCAGGGGCCTGAGCACACATCTGTTTCTACACCCGGCCCATAATCCTGAGTGCAGCAGGGGCCTGAGCACACATCTGTTTCTGCACCCGGCCCATAATCCTGAGTGCAGCAGGTGCCTGAGCACACATCTGTTTCTACACCCGGCCCATAATTCTGACTGCGGGAGGTGCCTGAGCACACATCTGTTTCTACACCCGGCCCATAATCCTGACTGCGGGAGGTGCCTGAGCACACATCTGTTTCTGCACCCGGCCCATAATCCTGAGTGCGGCAGGTGCCTGAGCACACATCTGTTTCTACACCTGGCCCATAATCCTGAGTGCAGCAGGGGCCTGAGCACACATCTGATTCTACACCCAGCCCATAATCCTGAGTGCGGCAGGTGCCTGAGCACACATCTGTTTCTACACCTGGCCCATAATCCTGAGTGCAGCAGGTGCCTGAGCACACATCTGTTTCTACACCCGGCCCATAATTCTGACTGCGGGAGGTGCCTGAGCACACATCTGTTTCTACACCCGGCCCATAATCCTGAGTGCAGCAGGGGCCTGAGCACACATCTGATTCTACACCCAGCCCATAATCCTGAGTGCGGCAGGTGCCTGAGCACACATCTGTTTCTACACCCGGCCCATAATCCTGAGTGCAGCAGGTGCCTGAGCACACATCTGTTTCTACACCCGGCCCATAATCCTTAGTGCAGCAGGTGCCTGAGCACACATCTGTTTCTACACCCGGCCCATAATCCTTAGTGCAGCAGGTGCCTGAGCACACATCTGTTTCTACACCCGGCACATAATCCTGACTGCGGGAGGTGCCTGAGCACACATCTGTTTCTACACCCAGCCCATAATCCTGAGTGGGGCAGGTGCCTGAGCACACATCTGCTTCTACACCCAGCCCATAATCCTGAGTGGGGCAGGTGCCTGAGCACACATCAGTTTCTACACCCAGCCCATAATCCTTAGTGCGGCAGGTGCCTGAGCACACATCTGTTTCTACACCCAGCCCATAATCCTGAGTGGGGCAGGTGCCTGAGCACACATCTGCTTCTACACCCAGCCCATAATCCTGAGTGGGGCAGGTGCCTGAGCACACATCTGTTTCTACACCCAGCCCATAATCCTTAGTGCGGCAGGTGCCTGAGCACACATCTGTTTCTACACCCAGCCCATAATCCTGAGTGCAGCAGGCGCCTGAGCACACATCTGTTTCTACACCCAGCCCATAATCCTGAGTGCAGCAGGCGCCTGAGCACACATCTGTTTCTACACCCAGCCCATAATCCTGAGTGCAGCAGGCGCCTGAGCACACATCTGTTTCTACACCCAGCCCATAATCCTGAGTGCAGCAGGTGCCTGAGCACACATCTGTTTCTACACCCAGCCCATAATCCTGAGTGCAGCAGGTGCCTGAGCACACATCTGTTTCTACACCCGGCCCATAATCCTGACTGCGGCAGGTGCCTGAGCACACATCTGTTTCTACACCTGGCCCATAATTCTGACTGCGGGAGGTGCCTGAGCACACATCTGTTTCTACACCCGGCCCATAATTCTGACTGCGGGAGGTGCCTGAGCACACATCTGTTTCTACACCCGGCCCATAATCCTTAGTGCAGCAGGTGCCTGAGCACACATCTGTTTCTACACCCGGCCCATAATCCTGAGTGCAGCAGGTGTCTGAGTGCACATCTGTTTCTGCACCCAGCCGCAGGCGCCTGAGCACCCATCTGTTTCTGTAGCTGGCCGCATCTGTCCCAGGGACACAGGTTGTCCTACTGCAGAGCTCTCGGGAGAAGGAGACCCCTGCCAGGTTCACTGAGCCAGTGGCGCTTGGACAGCTCACCCTGCCTGCCCTGCCTGGCCACATCTACCCTCCACGGCCTTCCTGCCTTGCCACCGTCCATCTGCGCACTGTGGTCCGGACTTGCTGGCCTCAGGACATTGTCTGGCCTTTCCTTCTGCTCAGACCCATCCCTCCACATCTCTTCTTGCTGCTCTTCCTCTTGTGTGACTCCCACCTATAGTCACCCCGCCCTCCTCCATGCTCTGAATGACCCGGTTTGCTCTTCAGAGCAGGCGCTCCATGTGCACCCTTCCCGATTTGCTAGCTGTCTGCTCTAAATGCTGTGATCAGGGTGTGCCCACCCCTGAGCACGGTCCCATGGGTCCCTGGGGGTCTTTGGTCCCAGTGCACCGCACTGAGGAGCAAACATATCCTGCCTTGGTTGTGGGTACAGGAGAAGGTCCAGCCTTGGGCCCTCGACTGCCACCTCTGCATGCACACAGACGCCATCCATGCCTGCCTGGGTGAGAGGCGCATGCCCGTGGAGGACTCGTTACCTTGGAGGAAGGCCCCTGACGTTTCTCCTGAAGAACACAGCAGGGGACGGCCAGGGCTTCTGCCTGCTGTGCAGCAGAGCAGAGTGGAAATGACAGAGCTGCACCTGCAAAGAGAGGAAATTGTGTGGGGTCGAACGAGGCCAGGACACGCCCCTGCCCTCAACCAGTACCAGCACTTACATGTGCTGGAGTCTGAGGCAGCCTAACTCTAAACCTAATGTGTGAGTCCATTCTCACACTGCTCTAAAGAACTACCCAGGCCGGGCACAGGGGCTCACACCTTTAATCCCAGAACTTTAGGAGGCCGAGGCGGGTGGATCATCTGAGGCCAGGAGTTTGAGACCAGCCTGATCAACATGGTGAAACCCCGTCTCTACTAAAAATACAAAATTAGTTGGGCATAGTGGTGCATGTACGTAATCCCAGCTACTCGGGAGGCTGAGGCAGGAGAATCGCTTGAACCCGGGAGGCAGAGGTTGCAGTGAGCTGAAATCGCGCCACTACACTCCAGCCTGGGCAACAGAGCGAAACTCCATCTCAAGAAAAAAAAAAAAAGAACTACCCAAGCAAGACTGGGTAATTTATGAAGAAAATAGGTTTGTTTGTTTTTCTGAGATGGAGTCTCACTCTGTCGCCCAGGCTGGAGTGCAATGGCACAATCTCGGCTCACTACAATCTCCGCCTCCCGAGTTCAAGTGATTCTCTTGCCCCAGCCCCCCGAGTAGCTGGGACTACAAGCATACGCCACCACATCCAGCTAATTTTTGTATTTTAGTAGAGACGGAGTTTCACCATGTTGGCCAGGCTGGTCTAGAACTCCTGACCTCAAGTGATCTGCCCTCCTCAGCCTCCCAAAGTGCTGGTATTACAGGTGTAAGCCACCGCACCTGGCCTGGGTTTAACTGACTCACAGTTCTGCAGGCTGTCCAGGAAGCACCACTGAGAGGCCTCAGGAAACTTACAGTCATGGCAGAAGGCAAATGGGAAGCAAGCACAGTATGGGTGAAGCAGTGGGGGGGGCGGAGAGAGAGAGAGAGCAAGCGAGAGGGCAAAGGGGAAAGTGCCACACACACTTTTAAACCATCAGATCTGAGAACTCACTCACTATCACCACAACAGCAAGGGGGAATCTGCCCCCATGACCAGATCACCTCCCACCAGGCCCCTCCTCCAACACTGGGAATCGCGACTCAGATGAGCTTTGGGTGGGGACACAAAGCCAAACCACATCACCAAGTCAGTCAGCAAAGACTGCCAGCACCGCTGGGATCATGCCAGGAAGCCAGGTTCCCATCTTTGATTCCGTAATGGAAACACTATCCTACCTCCTGGGAGCAAGGCTGAGTGTCAAAGTATCATAGGAGAGAAGGCTAAACGCAGCTTAACCAGGGCTGATGCCTCAGATGCTGACAGGGCATCAAACATACCCCGTCTCTGAATGTCCCCTCAGTCTCTGCAGGAAGAGATGGCATCACCATCTGGCTCATCTGGGATGGGACCCACCCCATCCCTGCCCCTGCACTCTCTTGGCAGCACCCTGACCTGTCATTTACTATTTTACTATTTCCTGCTGCTGAGACCACTGACCAGTGGCCAGAGGAAAGCAGTCCTCATCTCCGAAGGAAGTGGCAACAGTGCCCAGCCATGGAATCATACAGCAGACGCCAACCTTGAAGGTGGACGCCCGGATGGGAGGAGTGGCCTACGTAGGTCACTGTTCTGAAAGCAGATGAAGAAACTTACAACTTACTGAGACCCCACAGACAGGGACCCTGTACATCTTTTACTTGGAGGAGAAGAGGACATGCTGCAGCTAGCAGGACACACGTAAAGAAGTCCCAAGGGTCAGGCGCGGTGGCTCACGCCCGTAATCCCAGCACTTTTGGAGGCCAAAGCGGGTGGATCATGAGGTCAGGAGATTAAGACCATCCTGGCCAACATGGCGAAACCCTGTCTCTACTAGAAATACAAAAAAAGTAGCCAGGTGTGATGGCGCATACCTGTAATCCCAGGTAGTTGGGAGGCTGAGACAGGAGAATCGCTTGATCTTGGTAGGCGGAGATTGCAGTGAGCCAAGATTGAGACACTGCACTCCAGCCTGGGCAACAGAATGGGACTCCATTTAGAAAAATAAATACATAAATAAAGAAGCCCCACCATGAGACTCTTGACACATGGCCCTGCTTTATTTTTGTGACTATGAAAACACCACATAGAACTTACAGTATTATTAAAAAAAAGAAAGAAAACACCACAGCTCTCACTGGAAACCTTGGTCTCCCAATCACACTTGACCTAGGATGAGGTCTCACAACTCCCCAAATTCCCCAACTGAGAGCTCTTCACACAAGTCACGGTTTGGGTGGAAAGGACTGTGCATAGCCAGTCATGCCCCGTGGCACAGACGCTAACATGGTCCTCAACACTGGACCTAGTAAGGAACTGACTTGCCAGCTGGTTTTTGGCCAGAGCTCAGAGCCCTGGAGAAAATTTTGAGGACTCCAAACAACATGAAAGCCAAAGGGAAAAGTCCATGACCTCTTATCCCTAGAGGGCGGGTTGACAGAAACCCCTGCTTGGCGAGGTCACATGCAGCAAGTGCTGATTCACAAGGAAAACCCAAGGCAGCCGGGCAGCGACTCGTAGGCGGGCCATCCACCTGCTGCCTACCCAGCCTGCACCTCCTGACCCTAGCCACCTCTGGTGCCAGTGCATGCATGGCTAGAGGCCCCGAGATCAGGCAGTCGTGCCCACGGACTGTGGAGAGACTCTGAACAGCAGCTCGTAAGTGGCTGCAAGGGAGCTACCTCCAGGTGGCTATCCCAGCCACTGCCCACCTCATCCATGACCAGCAACGCAAGCTGTTTCCACAGGCTCCACCAAACAGGTGAGGCCAGGAAAGTCATGGCTGGCTGACTGCTGTCTCCAACAACAGTTTTCTGCTCTTTCCTCAGGAACCAGCATTGCAGAAGGGGCTCCAGCTGCGTCTCTCACTCCCATTCTTATCCAGGACAGAGATCCCTCCAGTAGACCCCGGGCCACCATCACCCTACCCTGGTCCACCAGCAGCCTTGCTCATGCTCACGTCCCGCTCCACCTTGTTCACCGTGGTCCTATCCTGCCACTGTCCTCATCACACACCAGCGTGACTGTCAACTTACGGAATCTGTCCTCCCACTAGACTGTGAGCAGGGCCACCTCTCAACCATCTCTGAACAAGCAGGCACTCAATGAATGCCTGCCGAATGAGACCAACAGCTGTGAAGCACAGGACTCAATTGAACCCCACATGGCCCTGCCAAGCAACAGGCACTGATAACCCACAGTGCCTGCCAGGGCCCATGAGGCTGAGCAAGAGCCTGTCTCCTCCAAATGTGGAGCGCCCAGCACACCCAGACTATCCTCTCTGAAATTCCCATCACACAGGAGAGGTCCCCAAGGCCCAGAGAGGTTATGGGTTGGGGGGCGAGCCTGCAGCTGCATCTCCCAGAAGGACTTCCCAGAGCCCAATCCAGGGCAATTCTCACGTGACACACAGCCCCAACCGCACCCAGAACACGACCTCTAAACTGCCAGAAGATAAGCCGTCTTTTAGACGGTGGGTCCCCAGGGCCTTCCCCCAACACACCTGAGACGGCCCTGGTGACACTTATCCCTGCAGCTCCCCTGACTTCCAAAGCCTTCCAGTTTGGACAAGATGAAACGGGTGCCCCCTGTCAGAACCTCTCATGCTTTCTTATGGTGAGTGTGTGCAGTCTGTCTGCACAAACGGAAACACCTCCCGTTCCAGAGTGACTCTAGACCACAGCTGACTACCTTGAAAGCGGCAAGTATTCTGAGTGGTAACACTCACACAGGTATCATGAAGTTCACAACCAAAGGGCGTGCTTTGGCCGCAGAACCACATGCATGTCCGATCGTGTCTGGTTTTCCAGCGCCTGCAGATGAGGAGGATGCAGCTCCCACAGACAGGCCCGGCCGCAGCAGTGAGAAGCAACTGCCGAGTCTCAGAATGATGCCAGAAACTAAAAACCATGAACGGATGACCAGAGCCTGGGGAACCCAACAGCACTGTGCACCTCAACATGAGGGGAAACTGAGGCACATAATTGTCCCCAAAGTTAGGAAGAGACAGATTGGGAGTCTGGGCAGGGTAAGTGGGTCTGGCGACCACAGACACTGTCCTTCTCCCAGGGTGTGTGACCCTGTCAGCCCCAGCCAGTCCTCAAACGCCGCCTGGACCCAGCCCTGCTCACTGGCCATGAGCAGCTCCTAACCAGAGGCTAAACCGACCTGTCCACTCGCTGGGGCTGGGGAGGGACTGAGTGGCCTGCACGTGGGAAGACTTTGTCACCTGGAAGGAGCTGCACTGAAGGCCACCTCCCCGGCCCATGAAGCACCCTGGGGTCACACAGCTGGGCTGGGGCACGAGTGGGCCGTCCATCTGTGCTATTTATAGCCAGACGGGCAAGGCTAGCTTATCGCCAAACACAAGCTCTGCTGACATTCCAAGAAAAAAAGGAACGGCGCTGGGAGCCCCTTCATCTCTTCTGGAAGGGGGTGGGTAAGATGCGTGTCAAGGCCTCTGCCCCGCCCCCCCGCAGTCCTAACCGCAGGGACAGAGCAACGGGACCCGGCGGCGACGTGGGAGCGGGGAGACGCCGAGAGCCTGAGAGAGGGGGCCTCGGAGCCATGGGGGGCGCGCCCCTGAGACGACGCAGGGGCGCTCAGAGCAGAGCCCGGCCTGCAGCCCCCGCCCGCCCGCCGCCTCAGGGCAGGGCAGGCCCGGCGGGGAGGCGAGCGAAGGAGGTCCGGGGCAGCAGGCTGGGCAGGGAGGCGTCCGTGATTCCGGGAGGCCGCCTCGCGAGGGGAACGGCGCCTGAGGCTTCCCCGCGGGGCCCCTGCCCTCTGGAGATCGCGCTCTCCGGGGCGCCGGGCACCCGCCTCCGGGCTGGGCGGAGGGGCCCCTGCGGCTCCCGGTGCAGGCGGCGTCAGGGCTGCGGGCGCGGCTCCCGCCTGAAATCCCAGCTCTCGGGGAGGCTGAGGCGGGCGGATCGCTAGAGCCCAGGAATTCGAGACCAGCCTGAGCAACACGGCGAGACCCCGACTCTGCTAAACAGAGTCGGCCGGGAGCGGTCACGCCTGCGGTGTCAGCTACTTGCGGGGCCGAGGCGGGAGGATCGCCTGAGTCCGGGAGGCGGAAGCTGCGGTGAGCGGAGATCGCACCACTGCGCTCCAGGGCGACAGAGCGAGACCCTGCCTCAAAAAAAAAGAGGGAAAAAGCCCCGAGGGTCTCTAGGGCGGGGTCTGGGGACTTGCGGGTCTCGGGTCTCTGGGGCTGGTGTGCAGGATCTCGGGCGCCCCGGGCCGGGAGAGTCCTCACCGGTCGCCACATCTCCGACCACTGCTCCGCTCTTCTCCCGCCCGGCGCCGCTTAGCGTCTCGCAGCCCAGCAGGCCCTGCGGGAGGGCGCGTAGTGCGCACGCGCCGGAGCCAGAGCCCCGCCCCGTGGGCGGTGGGCGAGGCTGGAGGCCACGCCCCGAGTCGTGCCGGCCTCCGCGGCGGGGCAGCGTCCCCTGGCGGCCCCCAGAGGCTTACCTTTTGGCGCCCGGACCGCGCCTCCTGAGAGCGGAGGGTTCCAGTCCCGCCCTCGGCGCACTGCGCATTCCCCGGGCAGGCACCTGCCGGAAGGACCGCTGTGAGAAGCACGTGGATAATCCGGGGAGGGCTGAGGGCTTCCTGAGGTCCTCACGGCCCGGTATCCGCCTCTCTTTAACACTCCGTGCTATAGTGTGATTAGCGTGAATCTCTTTAACCTCAGGACTCCAACTCACCACCTGCCTGTGTGAGGGCCAAGATGACGCCCCTGACTGGGAACTGGAAGACAACCAGGAGAGTGGCCAAAGGGGTCCTGGAGCAGCTCCCGTGCCCATGGGGAGACCTTCCCAGGGCCAGGGCTTCAGATTCTGGGGTTCACTTTGCAGCCACCCTTGGTCCCTGTCACTTAGCTTCTTATGGGAACGTCAGTGACGTCACAGCCTCCTGCAGTGCCCTAGGCTGCTGCTACTCACTCTGTGACAGCCCTGGCTGGGTAGGGGCCCAGGCCCGGGCATGCCATGCAGCCAGCAAGGCTACTGCTGGACTGACGACCTCACCGCTACTAGACTGACCTCACCGCTACTAGACTGACCTCACTGCTACTAGACTGACCTCACCGCTGCTGGACTGACCTCACCGTCCCCGAACATGCCAGGGATCCTCGGGCGCCAACACGGGTCCTGGCACTTACTGCCTGCAAGCCCTCCTAGACCCCACTGTGAGCATGAAACAAAACACCATCCTTGTGGAATCCACGAGGGCTCCTGAGTCAGCTTGGCCTAAGGGTGCCACAGTAGCTGAAAGTGGGAGGTTTTCAGGCCTCAAGGCCTTTTCACAACTCTCAGAAGTGGCCCCTCCTCCTCCCACCAATGGCCCCTCCTCCTCCCACCAGTGGCCCCTCCTCCTCCCACCAGTGGCCCCTCCTCCGCCCACAAGTGGCCCCTCCTCCTCCCACCAGTGGCCCCTCCTCCTCCCACCAGTGGCCCCTCCTCCTCCCACCAGTGACCCCTCCTCCGCCCACAAGTGGCCCCTCCTCCTCCCACAAGTGGCCCCTCCTCCTCCCACATGGCTCCTCGTCCTCATCTTCTTACAGTCCTCTTGCTCCTCCCACTGGGACTGAACCCAAAGGCATCTCTTCAATGGGGTGGTCCCTGCCTAGGGAAAGCCGGTGCCTCCAGCCCTTTAGTGCCCCTTCTGTTATGGCGTGTCTCCTGTGAAGTCTCTGTCATCCCCAAGGTCAAGTTTGCTGGGCTCAATGATTCTGTGTGCCCTGCATCACTTTGCTAGCAGGACAGGGATTGGCCTCCAGTCTTCAGTCCCTCATCCCCAAAGCCCAGACTAGAACTTCACAGATGGACCTGGGGCCCCTCCCGGAGCCGGGCTTTCTGGAGTGTTCTCATTTGCTAACATCTGCCTCCCTCGGCAACCTTTCCTCTGTAATGGAACAGGTCCAGAAGAGCCATGTGGGCTGACACAGTAAGGCCTCCAGGCATCTGTGCCGTGACGTGAGCAAAGTGTGAGCTGCATGGTGGGATATGCCATGCCTTGCCTAGGGGCCCGGGCACTGCCATCACAGGGAGGCTTGGCCACCAACCGACATGGCTGCCCCAGGTGGGAAGGGTCGGATGGAGGACTCTGCCACCCACTCTTGGGAAACACCCCCAAAATGAACGAAGGAATGACCTCTGTCCTGTTTTAGCATCCCGGGAGACACACTGTGGCCTAGGATCCTGCCCGGCTGCAGGGCTCTGGATGGGGCGTGACATCCTGCCCCCGAGGGTGTGGCGGGGAGTCGATGTCACACAGCTGAGCCACAGGGCCCAGGGATGTGGTGAAAGCTTTCCCCAGGTCCCAAGTGCCCACAGCCCCTGCCCCATCCAAGACCCAGAAATGCAGCTCACTCTAGCCCTTCAGTGCGGGCCCGCTCTCAAGCCTGTCCGTCACCTCCCAGAACTCCCACGTTCCCAAAACCCTGTGTTCCCAGTCTCTTTGGTCTCCAGAACTGTCATTAAAGAAAGAAGGGGCTAGGCACAGTGGCTCGTGCCTGTCATCCCAGCACTTTGGGAGGCCGAGGTGGGCGGATCACCTGAGGTCAGTTTGAGACCAGCCTGGGCAACATGGTGAAACCCCATCTCTACTAAAAATACAAAAATTAGCTGGGTGTGGTGGCGGGTGCCTGTAATCCCAGCTACTCAGGAGGCTGAGGCAGGAGAATTGCTTGAACCCGGGAGGCAGAGGTTGCAGTGAGCCAAGATCAAGCCATTGCACTCTAGCCCGGACGACAGAGCGAGACTGTCTCAAAAAAAAAAAAAAAAAAAAAAAAGAAAGAAAGAAAAAGAAAAAAGAGAAGGTTAAATAGGTGTTAAGAAGCGTGGCTCTCACATAGCTATAAAATGAGCACGTGTTCATTTCATGTCTCCTGGGCTGAGCACTGTCCCCCAAAAGAACACTGTCCAGGCCAGGCACGGTGGCTCACGTCTGTAATCCCAGCACTTTGGGAGGCCAAAGCGGGTGGATCAGGAGGTCGGGAGATCAAGACTGTCCTGCCCAACATGGAGAAACTCTGTCTCTACTAAAATACAAAAAATTAGCTGGGTGTGGTGGCGGGCGCCTGTAGTCCCAGCTACTTGGGAGGCTGAGGCAGGAGAATCCAGGAGAATTACTTGAACCCGGGAGGCAGAGGTTGCAGTGAGCCAAGATCACGCCATTGCACTCCAGCCTGGTGACACAGCAAGACACTGTCTCAAAAAAAAAAAAAAAAAAAAAGACACTGTCCTAACCCCTAGAGCCTGGGAATGCAAATTTATTTGGAAATGGGATCATTACAGATGAAATTAAGCCAAGGGTCTTTAGACAAAGTCACTGTGGGTAAGGGCAGGCCCTGAATCCAGTGACCAGTGTCCTTACAGGAGAAGAGAGAGGGAGATTTGGGACACAGAGGGAAAGGCCACATGAAGGTGGAGGTAGAAACGGGAGAGGATCACGGCCGAGGCGCCCGGAGCCAGCAGCTCCACAGCAGGAAAGAGAACTGGCAGGTTCTTCCTCAGAGCCTCAGAGAGAACCAACCCTGTTGACACCTTGATTTCAGACCAGTGTTTTTGTTTGTCTGTTTTGTTTACACATACACAGCACTGCAATTTCAGACTTCCGGTTTCTAAAACTGTGAGAGAATAAATTTCTGGCTGTTATTTTTTTATTTTTTATTATTTTATTTTTTTTGAGACCGAGTGTCACTCTGTTGCCCAGGCTGGAGTGCAATGGCGCAATCTTGGCTCACTGCAACCTTCTCCTCCCGAGTTCAAGCGATTCTCCTGCCTCAGTCTCCTGAGTACCTGGCACGATCTCAGCTCACTGCAGGCTCCGCCTCCTGGGTTCACGCCATTTTCCTGCCTCAGCCTCCCGTGTAGCTGGGACTACAGGCGCCCGCCAGCACATCCGGCTAATTTTTTTTTGTATTTTTAATACAGAGTTTCACCGTGTTAGCCAGGATGGTCTCGATCTCCTGACCTCGTGATCCGCCCGCTCGGCCTCCCAAAGTGCTGGGATTACAGGCGTGAGCCACCGTGCCCAGCCCCTGGCACTATTATTTTTATTTTTTTAAGAGACAGGGTCTCACTCTGTGGCCCAGACTGGGGTGCAGTGAGGCGATCATGGCTTGCAGCAGCCTCGACATCCTGGGATCAAGGGATCCTCCCTTCTCAGCTTCCCAAGTAGCTGGGACTATAGGCATGCACCACCACACCTAGCTAATTTTTAAATTTTTCTGTAGAGACAGTGTTTTTTTTTTTTTTTTTTTTTTTTTTTTGAGACAGAGTTTCACTGTTGTTGCCCAGGCTGGACTGCAATGGCACGATCTCTGCTCACCGCAACCTCCGCCTCCCGGGTTCAAGTGATTCTCGTGCCTCAGTCTCTCAAGTAGCTGAGATTACAGGCATGCACCACCACACCCGGCTAATTTTGTATTTTTAGTAGAGACAGGGTTTCTCCATGTTGGTCAGGCTGGTCTCAAACTCCCGACCTCAGGTGATCCGCCCGCCTCGGCCTCCCAAAGGGCTGGGATGACAGGCGTGAGCCACCGCGCCCAGCCCGAGACAGTGTTGATTGCTTGAGTCCTAGTCTCAAGCAGTCCTCCCCACCTCCGCCTCCCAAAGCGCTGGGATTATAGGCAAGAGCCACTTAACTCAGCCCTGACGTGTTGATAGCGACAGGAGGCAGCCAAATGCATAGGCAGATAGGGCGGGTCCCCGGTGAAACCACACCTCCAAGCCAAAAAGCCTGAAGCCTGAAAGACAGAACTGCTGGTCTGGGATGAAACTCGAGACCCAGAGCGAGAACTTCTGTTCCTGTTTGCCTGCCCTTTCCTGATGGGTTCTTTCCGAATAATGCTTTTAGTTTATATTATTATTATTATTATTATTATTATTATTATTATTATTATTTTGAGAGAGAGAGCCTCACTCTGTCACCCAGGCTGGAGTGCAGTAGCACGATCCTGGCTGACTGCAACCTCTACCTCCTGGTGCAAGCAATTCTCATGCCTCAGCCTCCCCAGTAGCTGGGATTACAGGCGAACGTGAATGCTACCACACCCAGCTATTTTTTGTATTTTAGTAGAGATAAGGTTTCACCATGTTGCCCAGGCTGGTCCCAAACTCCTGATCTCAGATGATGATCTGCCTGCCTCAGCCTCCCAAAGTGTTGGGATTACAGGCATGAGCCACAACACCCAGCCTGAATAATGCTTTTAACCAGTTGAATGTTGCCTTCTCTAATACTACCTATGACCTGCCCCTCCCCAATACTGAGCCCATAAAAGCCCTGGACTCAGCCACATTGAGGGGACTTTCCTGCCTTTAAGTAGGGGGACCACCCCCAAATCGCCTCTCTGTTGAAAACTGTTTTATCACTCAATAAACCCCCCACCTATTGTATCACTCAATAAAATCTCCACCCTCACTCTTCGATTGCCAGTGTATCCCCATTCTTTGTGGGTGCAGGACAAGAACTTGGGAACCAGTGCACAAGCCAGACTCGGCCCAGGTGGGGTGAGTGGGCGAGCTGTCTCTGCAGCAGGTATTGTGGCCCAGCGAGGCCCAGGTGGGGCATCGTCGGCTGGAGGTCCCTGGCTTGCAAAGTGACTGAGAATAAAATTGTTCATCAATTTTAAGTCACTAACTTTGTGGTAATTTGTTCTGGCAGCCCTAGGAAATGAGGACAGTGTGTCAAAGGTTCATTTAACTAATTAATTTAGCTGGGTGTGGTGGCTCAGGCCTGTAATGCCAACACTTTGGGAGGCCCAGGCAGGTCCTGAGGTCAGGAGTTCAAGACCAGCCTGGCCAACATGGCGAAACCCCGTCTCTACTAAAATTACAAAATTAACTGGGCATGGTGGCGCATGCTTGTAGTTCCAGCTACTTGGGAGGCTGAGGCAAGAGAATCACTTGAACCCGGGAGGCAGAGGTTGCAGAGAACCGAGATCTCGCCACTGCACTCCAGCCTGGGCGACAGAGCAAAACTCTATCTCAAAAAAAACAAAACAAAACAAAAAAAACTGACCACAGTGGCTCATGCCTGTAATTCCAGCACTTTGGGAGGCTGAGGCAGGCAGATCACCTGAAGTTGGGAGTTCCAGACCAGCCTAACCAACATGGAAAAACCCTGTCTCTACTAAAAATACAAAATTAGCCAGGCGTGGTGGCCCATGCCTGTAATCCCAGCTACTCGGGAGGCTGAGGCAGGAGAATTGCTTGAGCTCAGGAGGTGGAGGTTGCAGTGAGCCGAGATTGAGCCATTGCACTCCAGCCTGGGCAAAAAAGTGAGACCTTGTCTCAAAATAAAATAAAATTAAATTAAATAAAAAATAAATCACACTGGGCCATAAAATGAAGCTGGTGTCAGCAAGTGTGGTCCAATTATTTACATAGGTGCAGAAACAGTGCAAATATCCCATATAGGCCACCTTACGTTTGCTTTGCTGGAAGTTTTCATAAGAAATATCAGATTGGGGCTGGGTGCCGTGGCTCACACCTGTAATCCCAGCACTTTGGGAGGCTGAGGCAGGTGGATCACTTGAGGTCGGGAATTCGCAACCAGCCTGATCAACATGGTGAAACTCTGTCTCTACTAAAAATACAAAAATTGCCGGGCGTGGTGGCTCACGCCTGTAATCCCAGCACTTTGGGAGGCTGAGGCGGGCGGATCACGAGGTCCAGAGATCGAGACCATCTTGGCTAACACGGTGAAACCCCGTCTCTACTAAAAATACAAAAAAAAAAAAAAAAAAAAATTAGGTGGGCATGGTAGCACGTGCCTGTAGTCCCAGCTACTCATGGCTGAGGCAGGAGAATCACTTGAACCCGGAAGGTGGAGGTTGCAGTGAGCCAAGATTGCACCACTGTGCCAGCCTGAGTGACAGAGTGAGACTCGGTCTCGAAAAAACAAAACAAAACAAAAATTAGCTGGGGGTGGTGGCAGACGCCTGTAATTTCAGCTACTCGGGAGGCTGAGGCAGAAGAATCGCTTGAACCCAGGAGGCGGAGGTTGCAGTGATCTGAGATCACACCATTGGACTCCAGCCTGGGTGACAAAAGTGAAACAGTCTCAAAGAAAAGAAAGAAATATCAGAGTGGACCTGTATTGTTTGCTTCTTTGCAGAGGCAAGAAACGCAATACCTATAATTTGGGTCAATTTCTATGTTCCTGGGCCTGCCAGGAAATCACCTTCCTGGTCACCTGCAAGGCCTGGGGTCTGCACCCTCAGGAGGATTTGCAGGCACTCCTTCATAACAGCAACCCAAGGTCCGCAGCAGCGGCTGGTCATCCCCAGTGAAAGAGCAGAACTCTCCATATGACAACCTGGACAAGGCCTTGGTGACCTAACCAATTCATCCAATTGTCTTCTGTAAAAGGAGAAGAGTCTCTTAACTGAATCTATGTGCTGTGGTTTGAAAGTGTCCCCCAGAGTTCATGGATTGCAAACCTGATCCCCAGTGTGGCAGTATTGGAGGTGGGACCTTTTTATTTTTTTCTGAGATGGAATCTCGCTCTGTCATCCCAGGCTGGAGTGCAATGGTGCGATCTTGGCTTGTCGCAACCTCTGCCTCCCAGGTTCAAACAATTCTCCCGCCTCAGCCTCCCGAATAGCTGGGATTACAGGCATGTGCCACCACGCCTGGCAAATTTTGTATATTTAGAGAGACGGGGTTTCTCCATGTTGGTCAGGCTGGTCTTGAACTCCTGACCTAGTGATCCGCCCGCCTCCACCTCCCAAAGTGCTGGGATTACAGTCGTGAACCACCACACCCCGCCAGAGGTGGGACCTTTAAGAGGTGATTAGGTCTTGAGGGCTTCACCCTCATGAAGGGATTAATGCCATTATTTCGGGAATTGATTCCTTATAAAAGGATGAGTTTGGCCCCTTTCCGTCCAGCCACATAATGCCTGCTGGCATGTTATGTGGCAGCAGGAAGGTCCTCATGAGATGTGGCCCCTCCCTCTTGGACCTCCAAATCTCCAGAACCAATAAATCCCAGTTTATTATCAATTACCCAGTCTGTGGCATTATAGCAGCACAAAACGAACTAAGACACTGTAGGGTCCAGCCCTATGGGGCTAAGCGGGTGTTGTCCCCATGTGCAGAGACGAGAGATTGTAGTAAATAAAGACACAAGACAAAGAGATAAAGAGAAAACAGCTGGGCCCGGGGGACCACTACCATCAAGACGCAGAGACCGGTAGTGGCCCCGAATGGCTGGGCGCGCTGATATTTATTGCATACAAGACAAGGGGGGCAGGGTAAGGAGGGTGAATCTTCTAAGTGATTGACAAGGTGAAGCAAGTCACATGATCATAGGACAGGGGGCCCTTCCCTCTTAGGTAGCCGAAGCAGAGAGAGAAGGCAGCAAACGTCAGCGTTTTCTTGTATGCACTTACAAGAAAGATCAAAGACTTTAAGACTTTCACTATTTCTTCTACTGCTATCTACTACAAACTTCAAAGAGGAACTAGGAGTACAGGAGGAGCATGAAAGTGGACAAGGAGCGTGAACATTGAAGCACCACAGGGAGGGGTTTAGGCCTCCGGATGATTGCGGCCAGGCCTGGATAATATCCAGCCTTCCACAAGAAGCTGGTGGAGCAGAGTGTTCCCTGACTCCTCCAAGGAAAGGAGACTCCCTTTCGCAGTCTACTAAGCAACGGGTGACTTCCCAGACACTGGCGTTAGGGCTTGACCAAGGAGCCCTCAAGCAGCCCTTATGCGGGCGTGACAGAGGGCTCACCTCTTGCCTTCTAGGTCACTTCTCACCATGTCCGTTCAGCACCCGACCCTATATCCGCCGGTTATTCCTACGTTTTGTTAGTAATGCAACAAAGAGTAATGGTAAAAGCTAATGATTAATAATGCTTATAATAATGATTGATAATTGTCCATGGTCATCCCTATATCTAATTTGTATTATGACTATTCTTATTCTAAATATTTTCTTTATTATACTGAAACAGTTTCTGCCTTCAGTCTCTTGCCTCGGCACCTAGGTAATCCTCCGCCCACAAGACACCATGCAAATACCTACGTTGCCATGAAAACTGAGGAGGCTCAGTAAGAGCCTCTGAGAATCAAGGGCAGGAGGTGAAAGGACAAATCTCTGGGGAATCTCCAAAATCATGTATTTATTTTATTTAGAGACAGAGTCTCGCTCTGTTACCCAGGCTGAAGTCCGGTGGTACAATCAAGGCTCACTGCAGCCTAGACCTCTTGGGCTCAAGTGATCCTCCTGCCTCAGCCTCCCGAGTAAGTGGGACTGTAGGCTCTCACCACCATGCCCAGCCAATTTTTAATTTTTTGGTAGATATGGGATGTCACTATGTTGCCCAGGCTCAAGTTTTTTTTTTTTGAGACAGAGTCTTGCTCTGTCATAGCCTAGGCTGGAGTGCAGTGGTGCAATCTCAGCTCACTACAACCTCCACCTCCCGGGTTCAAGCGATTCTTCTGCCTCAGCCTCCCGAGTAGCTGGGATTACAGGCGTGCGCCACCACGCCCGGCTAATTTTTGTATTTTTAGTAGAGACGGGGTTTCACCATGTTGGCCAAGCTGGTCTCGAACTCCTTAACTCAGGTGATCCGCCCACCTCAGCCTCCCACAGTGCTGAGATGACAGGTGTGAGCCACCGCACCCGGCTAAGGGTTTCAGTTTCTATCAAGATGTTTTGTCATATCTAAAACCATCTTGGGCCGGGCGCCATGGCTCACACCTGTCATCTCAGCACTGTGGGAGGCCGAGGTGGGCGGATCACCTGAGGTCAGGAGTTCGAGACCAGCCTGGCCAACATGGTGAAATCCCGTCTCTACTAAAAATACAAAAATTAGCTGGGTGTGGTGGTGGGCACCTGTAATCCCGGCTACTCGGGAGGCTGAGGCAGGAGAATCGCTTGAACCCGGGAGGCGGAGGTTGCAGTGAGCTGAGATCGTGCCATTGCACTCCAGCCTGGTGACAGAGCGAGACTCAGTCTCCAAAAATAAAAAAAGATCATTTGAGTCCTCGACCTCACTTGAGCCTCAGGCCTGGGCAAAAGAACGAGACTCTACCTCTAAAAGACAAACAAGACCGGGCGCAGTGTCTCACGCCTGTAATCCCAGAACTTTGGGAGGCCGAGGCGGGCGGATCACAAGGTCAGGAGATCGAGACCATCCTGGCTAACACAGTTAAACCCCATCTCTACTAAAAATACAAAAAAATAGCCGGGCGTGGTGGCGGGCGCCTGTAGTCCCAGCTACTCGGGAGGCTGATGCAGGAGAATGGCGTGAACCCAGGAGGCAGAGCTTGCAGTGAGCCAAGATAGCGCCACTGCACTCCGGCCTGGGCGAAAGAGCGAGACTCCTTCCCAAAAAAAAAAAATCAAGGGGTGCAACTGTTCCTTAACCCCGTAGTCACCTGCACCCATCTAGGGACTAAGCTGGGCGGAGAACTACAGAACTGAAGGATGGGAAGGCTCTTAGGTCAGCTGCTCAATCACAGCCAGCGAGGCTTGTCCCCACACACAGAGGATCAGCATCACATGGGATGACCACATACCTGGGACAGGCGGCTGCACGTGGTGGCCACGGCCTGGCTGGCCCTTCACTGCTGGTTTTTTTCTTTTTTTGAGATGCAGTTTCGCTCTTGTTGCCCAGGCTGGAGTGCAATGGCGCGATCTCGGCTCACTGCAACCTCTGCCTCCCAGGTTCAAGCAATTCTGCCTCAGCCTCCCGAGTAGCTGGGATTACAGACACCTGCTACCACGCCTGGCATATTTTTGTATTTTTAGTAGAGACGGGGTTTTGCCATGTTTGCCAGGCTGGTCTCGAACTCCTGACCTCAGGTGGTCCACCCGCCTCGGCCTCCCAAAGTGCTGGGATTACATGCATGAGCTACTGCACTTGGCCCCTTCTCTGCTGGTGAGGAGCCCAGGAAACCTTTCCTTGTGGAGGGACAAGGAACAGTGAGTTGCAGGCTTTGCTCCTACTCAGGGGACCACCCTCTGGGGACAGTGGGGGACGTCAGGTCCGGCTCCATTCCTGCCTTCCGGTGGAGGGTGGAGTCTCCTCCAAATTCCTCTTGGGCAGGGTTTCGCGCTTCAGAGCCTCTGGCCACTTGCTGTGCAGCTGGTGGTGGTGGGCATCCTCGCCCCAGCAGGCCCTGCGTGGTGGGCTATCCTGCCTCCCAGGGGCCCAGCTTTGGCCCTGGACTCAGCCCCGGGAAACTGTAAGTGAGCAGTGCTCAAGGCCTCGGCCCTGAGGCACCTTTCTGCCATTATGATTCTGACCCCTGCCCCAGTTCCTACTGGGATGGGCAGGAAGCTCACAGAGACTTCAAAAGGCAGCGGATTCCTCACTCAGGCTTGTGCACCTTGCTCCTCTGCGGCCTGGGGGAGTGTGGCTCATGTGTGGCACAGAGCAGAGCCTCCATGGATGCCTTTGATCGCTGGCCTATGGGAGGGAAGATAGAAGAAGCTGGGAGGTGGCTCCACCAAGCCTGCAGCCCAGGGTGGACAGGAGAGGGCAGGCCCCAAGCACCGGTGCTGATGGGGGTGGTGGCAAAGCGATGAGGGGAAGGGGGCAAGCATGAGACCAGGAGCCCTGTTGCCCACAGCCATGCCACCAAACCACCCACCTTGTCCCATCCTTGTCCTCATCCTCCCTCAGAAGCTTTCTTCTTTTACCAGGCGACTTCTGAAGCTCACACTCAACCTTCAGCCCCCACCCCCTAGAACCCTCAGTACCTGCAACCCCCAAAGGGAAGCAGCCGGGTCAGCTGGGCAGGGGCCCAGCCTCAGGCGGCAGCATCCTGGAAGGCTGGAGCTGGCAGTGGCCTCTGCCCTCAGAGTTGGGTGGTCCTGAGCCCCCCTGGGAGCTGGCCTGCCCCCTGATGTTTGATGGGGCCCAGACTAGAGGCTTTCCGGGTCACAGGGGCTCCTTCCTCCTCTGATGGTCCTGCCAAGACAGGAGGGAGCAGAAGTGGGGAGGAAGACCAGGCCTTCAAAGGCCCGTGTGCAGGCCAACTCAAGGACAATGAGAAAGGGCCTCCGCAGAGCGGAACCGTCGCAGACAGAGCTTGGGCAGCAGGAACAGACCCACCATCCCCAGTGCCTGCACGCTCCCTGTAGCTGCAGGGGCCCTTCTGCAGAAGTGGGGCCTCTTGCCTGGGAGAATGGGCCTTGCTGCCAGGCCCGTCATACTGATCACAGTTCGGTGTCCTGCCTCCCTGGGGTGGCGGCCCACGAGGTGAAGAAAGCCAGGCTCCTACCTTGGCGTGGTCTCTCCCAGCACTTTCTTCCAGATCCTTGCTCCCAGGCTCAGGGGCTCCTCTCAGTTAGTTCCTTTGCAGCTCCAGCTCTTTTTGTGGGAGCCCAAGAACCACCCAGCCCAGGATAGACCATGGTCAGTGCTGAGGTCCTGCTCCCTGCAGATGCCAACACATACAGGCCCAGGCTGCTCAGGGCTAGGGGCAGTGTGCCAGCAGCCCAGGGAGAAGACAGCTGTAGCCAAGTCTGCCTGAAGAAACAGTTTGGGGCCTTTGGGGGTCTGATTGCAGGAGGAGCTGTCACTGAGAGGGTGGAGGCTCAGGGGAGTGGGGTAATGCTCAGGCCAAACGGTCCCGATGGGCTAAAACCTTAAACTCTGTCTCTTCTGAGTCCCCCTCACTGAGTACCCCGGTGCCTGCACACCAACCCCCTGGTGTAAATCCCTAGCAGGATACTCCTGGGAAGCTAGCAGGCAAACAGTCACTCCAGGGCTAAGGGTGGACAGGGGGCTCGGCACATCGCAGCCCCATCCGACTAACCCTCAGCCCTTGAGAGGTGCTCGTGGAGCAGTGGCCTTGCCGGGAAGAGGCTCCTCTACTCCTCTGACCACCGAAGCTGGTAGCTCGTGTGGGCCCAGAGAGCCCAGGGCAGTTCCAAGAAGCAATGTGGGGTAGTCTGGGCTCAGAGGGCATGACTGTACAATCCGTGAGACCAGCCTGTGGTGGGTAAGGACCTGCCCAGGGCCTGGGGAGAGGCAGCCTGTTAAACAGGCCAGGCCATGGCTCTAGTTCAGGGAAGCATCCACACAGAGAGATGTGCTCAAAGAATTAATGCCAACTCATTAAATACAAATGTTTTATTACGCAAACCACATGTAGGTCCCAGGCTCAGGGGCTTACCCTACAGCCCCCACTGGTCCCTGGCTCCAAGCCTGCTCCTTGCCCTTGCCCACCCTGGAAAGCCAGGATCTCCTATGGAGTGTGTAGGTGTCCACGAGTGTACCGGTGTGCGGGCCTCCTGGGCTGCAGGCACTCAGGCATGGTGGCAGCATTGAGGGAAAGACAGGTGTTGGGGAGCGGGGTCCCCACCTGCCCAGGCTCAGGAGTCACAGGGGTCTGCACAGTCCTTTCTGCTGTGGAACACGTGATAGATGCTGGTCGGGGGGAACATAGCAACAGCGCCGAGCAGAGAGCCCACCTGGATGGCCACGCCGGCTGCCAGCAATGCCGGCCGGCCCCCGCCATGCAGCAGGGAGCTGGCTGCCACCTTCACGTAGGAGAACACGCCAAGACACAGCACCCACGACAGCACCTGAGGGGGACACAGCACCAGCTGAGCGTGAGATGTGCCTGCTCCAGGGCAACGCCCCCCCACCCCACTTCATGTCCCCCTGTGCTCACCACGAGGACCACCCCCGCCGAGGTGCCCACCAGGGGCGGGCAGGGGCTCAGGACTGCCAGCGCCATCAGGTAGCCCCCACAGAACACGCCCAGCAGAGAGAGGCCGCCCAGCCCTGCCAAGGACCTGCAGTGAGCGAGCAGAATGTCAGGGCTGACTGCGCCAGGACCTGGCTCCTAGCCCTGAGTTCCACCCGCACAGGGGCTGGGGGTCCTTGTGTACCTGCACAGCACACCCATGGCCAGGAAGCAGGCCAGGGGATTGGCAGCACTGCCCAGCACCACAGCCAGGTGGTAGGCCAGACGCCCGTAGGGTAAGCAGGAAAAGCTCTGCACGGCAGGCAGCACGCCATTGGTCAGCGCGTTGGTGGCGGCCAACAGGCCCAGCAGGCAGGCACTGCGGGCTGATAGAAGCTGATAGGCCTTAGGGTCTGGACCAGGGGTGGTGCCTGCTGCCTGGCTTGGTGGCTCTTGCAGTGGTGAGGACTCTTCCACCTCTTCCTCTGCTCCTGGGGCTCCCACCTGGAGGCCTGATCCTAACTCCCCTGTGGGTACAGATGGTGGTGGCGGCAACAGCAGCAGAAGACCCTGGAAGGCAGCAGCTGAAGCGACCAGAAGGGCAGTCAGTGCCCAGAAGAAGGTGCTGGCGGGAAAACGCTCAAGGAAGTCGAGCGGGGGGCCAGGGGTGCCGTTGATGGGGGCTGGCGGGCACTCGAGGCGGCCCACACCCTGCACTAGGGCCAGCACGCAGGGCAGCAGGGCACTCAGGCCTTGACCCAGGAAGAATGACCGTAAGAAGCGAGGTGGCAGGTGGCTCAAGAAGGGCAGGAAAGTGACATTCGAGGCACAGCATGCCAGTGCCAGCACAAAGGCCAGTGCTAAGAAGGCCACAGAATGCAACTGTCCTGCCACTGGGGCCACATGGTGCCACAGAGAGGCCAGCAGGGCTGTGCCCACCATGCCCAGCACCTGCACCACCCGGATGGGGACCTGCTCGTCCTTTCCTGGGGCCAGCCTCCTCCAGAGGGTCACCACCAGCAGACCCAGGTTCCCCAGAGCCACAAGCACAGAGACGTAAGAGGGGAGGCTCCAACCTGCAGGGAAGGGAGGAGGCCATGTCAGGGTCATGATGCCCAAGGGAGGAAGAGTGCCAAAGCCCACCTTCCTGGGCACACCTGCACCTCCTCCCACTCACCCTCTGGAAGCTCTCTGACCACCACAGGTAGCTCCACCCAGATCCCACTGACCGCAGCCCAGGAGTCTTGGGCACACCTGCACCTCCCTCCCACTCACCCTCTGGAAGCTCTTTGACCACCACAGGTAGCTCCACCCAGATCCCATTGACCGCAGCCCAGGAGCCCATGCCGAAGAGAGCCACCAGCAGGTGGGTCAGCACCGGACGGGCGGGCGTGGGTGCTGCCATTCAGCCCAAGGCTGGGCCCTTCCAGGTCAGGGCAAAGGTCACAGCCAGTTCTTTTCCCACCTAGGGCCAGACACGCTTTGGCTCTCCTGGGAAGTGAAGACTTCTTCTAGCTTGAAAGAAACAGAGAAACAGATAGGATGCAGAGCCGGAGTCAGAACAGGGTGAGACCAGGGGAACTGGGGGAGCCCCGGGCAGGAGCGCAGATGGGGAGGATTGGCTAAAACGTACCCAGCGGGACCGCCGGCAGGCAGGGAAGCAGGAAGCCGGCCCGAGTCGCTGCGGCCCCAGGGGAGGAGGCCGAAGGAGCGAGTGGAGCCCTCCTCTCCAGGGAGAGGCGGGGCTGGAGTCAACGCCACCACCACCCCAAGCCGGACGCCGGGAAAGGGCGCCTACCAGGAGGAGCCACGCACACCCCAGGGCTTCACGGTGCCCGCGACCGCAAGAGCCAAGTCAGATCCCAGGGGAGTGGCCGGGACGGCTCTGCTCGGAGGGGCGCCGCCCTCTCGGTACCGTCAGGTGGGCGACTCGGGAGCCGTCCGGTCCCTGCGCCTCCCGGTCCCGCGCCCAGTGCGCTCCCGCTCCAGTGCCGGCTTCCCGCCACGCCGGGACACCGCCGTCCGGCCCAGGGACGCCACCTCAGTCCGGAGCGCGCAGGACCCGGCAGCAGCCACGACCCGACTCACCCGTGGCGGTTCCGGGCCCGCCCCCGGCATGGCCCACGACCGGAAGTCCCGCCCCGGAAGCTGGTCGGCGGGCGGGCGGGCGTTGAGAGGAACCGGGGGGTTGTCGGTCTATAAGCCTCGCCCGTTCCGCTCCCTGGGGCTTCCCCGAGCGCCGTCGGTGGTCATGGCTGCCCCAGCCTCCCGGCAGGTCCGACGCAGAGCCCGGGCAGCGCCGCGGCCCCGCTCGGCCGAGGACTGGTGGTGGGACCGGCTGGCGCCGAGGGGCTCGGGGTACCACCTGCTGCAGTCCGACAGCATGCTGCTGGTGCTGTCCGAACCCGGCCCCGCCCGGCCCCGCGCACAGCGGCGCGCTTCCCGCCGCACTCCCCGGCAGCCGCCCCGGGGCCCCAGCGCCGCGGCCAAGCCCAAGGCCGGGCTCAGGTCCGAGGCGGCGGCCGCGCCCGCACCCGCACCGGCACCCACGCCCACGCCCGAGGAAGGGCCCGACGCGGGCTGGGGAGACCGCATTCCCTTGGAAATCCTGGTGCAGATTTTCGGGTTGTTGGTGGCGGCGGACGGCCCCATGCCCTTCCTGGGCAGGTAACGCTGGTGCCGGGCCCGCCGCCGAGCGTAGCGGCTTGGGCCAGACGTGGTCCGAGCGGTGGCCCGGGCGGGGGCGGAGGGCGAAAGCATCGGAGCGCGCACCGCTCAGTCCGAGAGCGCAGCCCCTTAGGCGCCCAGTTGGAGTCCCAGGAGCCCGGCTTTGAGCCGGGGTGTCTACTGCGCTGCGAGAGGGGGGCATCGCCTACGGAGGGGCCGGCACCCTCAGCACGCTGTCCTCCCAGGGCTGCGCGCGTGTGCCGCCGCTGGCAGGAGGCCGCTTCCCAACCCGCGCTCTGGCACACCGTGACCCTGTCGTCCCCGCTGGTCGGCCGGCCTGCCAAGGGCGGGGTCAAGGCGGAGAAGAAGCTCCTTGCTTCCCTGGAGTGGCTTATGCCCAATCGGTGAGGGGTTCCCTCTCTTCCTTACCCCTGGCTCCAGGCTCCTTCCGTCTCCCTGCACCAAGGTGTTGGGTGGGAAGGACTCGTGTGGGAACATTAGTGCAGCTCTGCCTCCGCTGTCGGCCCAGGTTTTCACAGCTCCAGAGGCTGACCCTCATCCACTGGAAGTCTCAGGTACACCCCGTGTTGAAGGTGAGAGCTCCAGGCTGTCCTGCACATCAGCTGTGACACTCTGGGACTGTTCAGTACTCTAGGAAGTGGGTCAGGCACCTTGGGGGCCCAACGCTGCTCCGTGGGGATGTCTGCCTGCCTGCCTGGTTCTCTTTTCCTGCTGTTTCCTCCAGCAGGGAGGTATCAGAGGCGGGGACACCCAAGTAGGCCTGGCATGGGCAGAAAGGAGGTCACAGCTAAGGCGGTAGAGTGGGGTTGGCACCAGCCACTTGTCTGTTTCCCTTGTGGATCTTAGCCTGTCGTCTCCCAACCCCAGCTGCCCCTCTGTCTCCCCGCAGCTGGTAGGTGAGTGCTGTCCTCGGCTCACTTTCCTCAAGCTCTCCGGCTGCCACGGTGTGACTGCTGACGCTCTGGTCATGCTAGCCAAAGCCTGCTGCCAGCTCCATAGCCTGGACCTACAGCACTCCATGGTGAGCCCTGTGTCCCAAGGGGCCCTGAAAAAACCCAGGCCGGGGTGACGGGTGCTCTTGTATTGGGGCCCCAGGTGGAGTCCACAGCTGTGGTGAGCTTCTTGGAGGAGGCAGGGTCCCGAATGCGCAAGTTGTGGCTGACCTACAGCTCCCAGACGACAGCCATCCTGGGCGCACTGCTGGTAAGTTGGCATTGGTGGGAGCAGAGGCAGATGCTGAGCTGGGGACTGCCAGGCCACTGACCCTGTGACCTACCCCCTCCCCCCATCTCTGCAGGGCAGCTGCTGCCCCCAGCTCCAGGTCCTGGAGGTGAGCACCGGCATCAACCGTAATAGCATTCCCCTTCAGCTGCCTGTCGAGGCTCTGCAGAAAGGCTGCCCTCAGCTCCAGGTACCTGGCGCCCTGCCTCTCCCACCTGTCACACCCTCCCCCATCTACAGCCTGGACCTTGCCCCCAGGTGCTGCGGCTGTTGAACCTGATGTGGCTGCCCAAGCCTCCGGGACGAGGGGTGGCTCCCGGACCAGGCTTCCCTAGCCTAGAGGAGCTCTGCCTGGCGAGCTCAACCTGCAACTTTGTGAGCAACGAGGTCCTGGGCCGCCTACTCCACGGCTCTCCCAACCTGCGCTTACTGGATCTTCGTGGCTGTGCGCGCATCACGCCGGCTGGCCTTCAGGATCTGCCATGTCGGGGTCAGCAGTCCTGGGTGGTGGCCGGGCGGGTGAGGTGTGGGGGCCCTTGTCACCTTGTAGCTTATGCTCACTCCTTTCACTGCAGAGCTGGAGCAGCTTCATCTGGGCCTGTATGGCACGTCAGACCGGCTGACTCTAGCCAAGGAGGGCAGCCCCTTTTTGACCCAGAAGTGGTGCCATACACTGCGAGAACTGGACTTGAGTGGCCAGGGGTTCAGTGAGAAGGACCTGGAGCAGGCCCTGGCTGCCTTCTTAAGCACCCCTGGGGGCTCACACCCAGCCCTGTGCTCTCTTAACCTCAGGGGCACCCGGGTCACACCAAGCACTGTCAGGTCAGCATCCCCTACCCCAGTCCCTGGAGCCAGTGTGGCTGTCACTGTGTCTGCCTGGGGCCTGGAAGTTGTGTCCTGCCTGGCCTGAGACCTCCAGGGGTCAGAGGGGCATGCATACTGTCCAAGCCCCTGCGTGGGGTGGGCCTGAGGACACCAGGGGAACTGGGCTTGGCCTTGGTGGCTATGGGTGGCAGAGCCAGGTGTCGAACACCAGCAGGCACAGCTCCCTAGCCTGGCCCAGCCCTTCTGAGGCAACAGCTCAACTTCCTGTGGTCTGCCCTCCCCACAGCTCTGTGATCAGCGGCTGCCCGGGCCTGCTCTACCTCAACCTGGAGTCCTGCCGCTGCCTTCCCCGGGGTCTGAAGCGGGCCTACCGGGGCCTGGAGGAAGTCCAGTGGTGTCTGGAGCAGCTGCTCACCAGCCCCTCACCCAGCTAGGCAGCCACAGACCTGGGACACCTCAGCCAGCTTGCCCACCCTCCACCTTTGCCCAATTTCAGATATTTGAGCATTTTGTTAAAATAAAACATTTTTAGGAGTTCTGTGTGTGTGGTCCTCAGGGTAGGGTTGGGCAACAGGTTATACCTGATGGAGCCACTGGGGCTACAGCCGGCCCAGAGCCTGTGTGTTGTGGGGTCAGGGTGGTCCCATGGGCTCTTGAGCCTGCAGGTGGCCATGCCTTTGCCTGCCCACTGCTGGGTCCAGTGTGTGTGTTCCGTCCTCGGGGACACTGGTGAGCTTGTCTGTGGTTGCATGTGGGTGGGGGGTGGGAGGGGGTGGGGCCCCGCCCAGCTGTGGGGCTCACTGAGTGGTCGCCGCCTGCAAATTTCTCTCCAGCTCAGGCCTAGGGTGTCCACCCATCCACCCTTCACATGGGGACTGTGAACAGGCCATACAGGGGGCCTCCAGTGGATGGACTGGCCAAGAAGTTAATGCCTACCGCAGGACCTCACCCTGGACTCCCTAAGAGGTGGTCAACAGAGCAGCCCCTTCTAGAACCTGCCCAGAACTTCTAGAACCCATCCGCGGTCCACCCTGGGCCGCTCCCTGGCCTCGCTGCCCTGTCAGTCGCCTGTGAGCTCCTGCTCCTTCCTGGGCCTGCAGCCCTGGAGAATTTGCTCACCGAGGTAGGAGTGCCGCTGTGGGCAGTGGGCGGCGGCAGCGGACGAGCGGCCAGGCTGACCACCTCTGCCTGACTCAGATGCCTAAGGGCCGGGCCGGCAGCCTGCCCACGACCTCCATCGGCTGGCGCTTCCAGCTCTGGTTCCTAGGACTCACCTGCCCGGAGCGCCACCTGGCCAGACGCCTCAAGAACAATAGCTTCTACCCATTCGTGCAGCAGGAGCCAAACGGTGCGCGCGAGGCTGGGCGGGGCGGGGCGGGGCGGGGCTGGGAAGGGCGGGGCGGGGGAGGAGGGAGACGGGCCCGAGGCCTGAATGGGGCGGAGCCAGGTGGGCAGAGGCAGGGCCAGGGCCCTGGGTGGGGCCGGCCGGTGCTCCTGGGGACGGAGAGGCCGCAGGCGAGACGTCGCCTCCGCGAGCCCTGCGCGGACCCAGCTAGTCCGGGCCAAGCCTTGGCACCGCCACCCCCGGCTGCGGGCAGGGCCGGGGCGTCCTCACGCGCCGCGCCACCCCCAGTCTTCGTGCTCGAATACTACCTGGACACACTGTGGAAGGGGATGCTGCTCTTCATCATCAGCGTGGTCCTGGTCAGCTTCAGCTCCCTGAGAGAGGTGTGAGCCCCTGGGCCCGACCCCCACCGCCCTCCTCCCCTGAGGGCCGGCCCCGCGCCGCTCAGACTCTCCGCGTGGCGCCCGCAGGTGCAGAAGCAAGAGACCTGGGTCTTCCTCGTGTACGGCGTGGGCGTGGGCCTGTGGCTCGTGATCTCGTCGCTGCCGCGGCGCCGCCTGGTGCTGAACCACACGCGCGGCGTGTACCACTTCTCCATCCAGGGCCGCACCGTGTGCCAGGGCCCCTTGCATCTGGTCTACGTGCGCCTGGCGCTCAGCTCCGATGGTAACGGGCCGGGAGGGTGCGCCAGGGACGGGGAGGCAGCTTGGGAGGTCGGAGGGGCGGCCAGGCTGGCTAAGTCCGCTCTCCCCGCAGCCCACGGAAGGTGCTTCTTCCACCTGGTCCTCGGCGGCCACAGGTTGGAGCCCCTGGTGCTGGTGCAGCTGTCGGAGCACTACGAGGTGGGTCCCGCCCAGACACGCGCCCTCCTCAGGACACGATGACACCGATCACTGTTTAAGGTCTTTGGGTGGGGCCGTTTCCGCACGCAGAGGGTAAATACAACACGGTCTTCGGTGCTGGGGGCCGTGGAGAGGGCGCCGGGGCTTCGGGCAGGACGGGGGATGCAGCCTGGTAGGGGAAGGAGACGCCTGGACGGCGACTCGGGTCTGTCCTGTCCCGGCCCCAGTTGAGCGCCACCTGCTCCCACAGCAAATGGAATACTTGGGCCGTTACATCGCCCGGAAACTCAACATCAACTACTTCGACTACCTGGCCACCTCCTACCGGCACGTGGTTCGCCACTGGCCACCCCCTGGCGCTGGCACTGTGATGGGCAAGAGCCCCATGGGTCACAAGCCCAGCTCCTCTCAGTCCAGCCTGGAGGTGTGACTCTGAGGGCCTCCCCCACCTCGGGACTGTGTTCTCGGTAACCTCCCAGCCCCACTCTGGGGCAGATCAAATGTGAGTCCCACTCACTGGCCTTCCTTTCAATAAAGCTGCCTCAGCTTCCACACGGATCATTTTAGGGGGCAGGGGAGGCCCTCTGGTGCCTAGGTCTTCCACTGTTGCGCACTCCTAGGACCTCAGAGAGCCTGTGCCTTCCAGCTGACTGAAGCAAACCCCACAGCTTGTGTTCGAAGACAGGAACAGCTGAGAGCAAGGGATGGCATATAGCCAGGCCTCTGAGGTTCGGCCCATCACTAGAGAGGCTGGGAACTCCATCCCCTCTTAGCCAGCAGCACTTAACTTGTCCTACCTGACCTCAGAGGTGCTGACCAATGCGTGGAATCCAGGAGTCAGAATCTGGCCCATTCTGGACCCGGTGCCTGCTGCTACTCCAACCAGCAATGGGGTGGGGTGCGGCCAGAGAACAAGCCCTGTGCCTGGGGTGCATGCTTGCCCCAGTACCCACAAAGCTGCTGCCGCTTGCCTCCAAGGGGGTGGGCACAAGAGTCCCGGGCCAGGGTGCAGGGCCTCCTAGGAGGGAGGATGTGCAGTGCCCTGACACCCGCTCGCCATGCCCGCTGGAACCCCAGGCCCGCGCCCCTGACACCCGCTCACCGTGCCCACTGGAACCCCAGGCCTGCGCCCCTGACACCCACTTGCTGTGCCTGCTGGAACCCCAGGCCCACACTCTCCTGTCCAGTGGATCCCCCAGCTATCACTGCAGCACCTGAGGCCTCCTGAGTGCTGGGGGCTGTTGTGGAAGCCGAGAAGGCTGTGGGCCATGGGGTCCCAGGGAAAGCAGGACCTGGCTCTCCGGATCTTCAGGCATTATCAGCTGAACGTCCCTGCAACCAGGAGCAGCTACATAATTTGCAGGGTCCCATGCCAAATGAAAATTTGGAGCCCATTGTTAGGAAGTTAATAAGTGGGGTGCAGTGGTGTATACCTGTAGTCTCGGCTGCTCAGGAGGCTAAGGTGGGAGGACAGCTTAAACCCAGGAGTTCAAGGCTAGCCTGGACAACATAGTGAGACCCCAGTCTCTAATAAAATAAACAATAAAAATAAAAATAAAGTTATTAAGAATTTCAAGATAGACTGGGCATGGTGGCTCACGCCTGTCATCCCAGCACTTTGGGAGGCCAAGGCGGGCGGATCATCTGAGGTCAGGAGTTCAAGACCAGCCCGACCAACATGGTGAAACCCTGTCTCTACTAAAAATATAAAATTAGCTGGGTGTGGTGGTGCATCCCTGCAATCTCAGCTACTCGGGAGGCTGAAGGAATAGAATCGCTTGAACCTGGGAGGCAGAGGTTGCGGGTGAGCGGAGATTGAGCCATTGCACTCCAGCCTGGGTGACAGAGTGAGACTCTGTCCCAAAACGACAACGACAACAACAACAGCAACAAAAACTCAAGTATGGGGCCTTTCTGAGCCTGGGGCCCTGTGTGACTGCCCAGGTTGCAGGCTCGTGAAGCCAGTTCTGCCTGGAACCATGACTTAGAGTCTCTACTTGACCCCCAATCCCAAGGCTGCTCAAAACTCACTGGGCACACAGGCACCCTGGCCCATCTCTGGGGCAGGATCTGGGGGCTACTGAAGTGGCTTTAGGTAATCCCTGGAAGCAATTGTCATTAACAGCACAAGTGCAGGGACCTCCACTCCCCAGAAGATGGGGCTCAAGGTGTCCTACAGTGGCAGCACCAAACTTAGGTTTGGGTTGAGGGCTCTGTTTCACTCAGGCAGGCAAAGTCCCTCCTCCCTGGAGCTGGTGATCTAAGAGGGACCCAGAATGAAGAGTGGTTGGAGGGGCAGGGTCCCTCTGGCTGGGGAGCTTTGGGGGAAGGGCATCGTGGGCAAAGAGTAAACACAACACAAGGGCGTGATATAGGACTGAGCTGGGTGTGCTGGAGAAGCTGCAAGGGGATTGGGCTGGTCAGAGTAGAGAGGACAAGGGAGAAGGAGGCCTGAGATGAGGTGGGAAGGGCAGGCAGCGTCCTTGGAGGCCATAGCTCAGAGCTTTAGTCCTGTGTGCCATGGGAATCTGCTGGAGAGCTGTAAGCAGATATGCACTAAGACCCAGGGAGGGAGCGGTGGGGAAAGGCCAGGAGGCTGCAGGAATTGTGCACGGAGGAAAGGGAGCTGGAGGGGCAGAGGGGAACAGAGAGGAGCAAGGACCACAGACAGTTCTGAGCTCCGGCTCCGTGGAGGGGATTTGCTGCTGGGCGGGAAGTGGGCTGGGAAGAAAAGTGACTCGGGAGTCCAGAGTGTCTGGCCTGGGCACTGGGGCTGGTGGCTATGGGGAGAGGGGTTGGCAGTCAGGAGTTCTGAATTAGACAAGGCCTGAGGAGCTTACAGGACCTTGTGGGGGAGATTTTGAAAAGGCAGAAAGGCCCTGGGGAGAAAGGAAAGGGGGAAGCACAGACCTGAAACCATCATGCCCTGGGAGGTCCCTAAAGCTAAAGCACTAGATGAGATGTCTCTGGCAACGCAGAAGATGGGGGAGAACAGGAGGAGGGCCAAGGATGGAGCTCTGGCATCAGACACAGAGGCAGACAAGGGGCCACGGGGGAAGAGGACCCAAACAGAGGGAGAAGGAACCCATGTTGAGTAAGATGGGGACTCATAAGAGGCACGAACGCCCCTGCAGGAACAGCCTCAAGAAGGGGCCTCAGCAGCACAGAACTGGGGCAGGGAGGAGGGAGGGAGAGAGGGTGGAAAGAAGAGGAGAGTACAGCTCACACAGCAAGTTTCACTGTCATGGGCAGAGAAACCAGGGGGCAGCTTGCAAGAGGAAGGTCTTGCTTGTTGGTGTGCAGGTGTGCATGGCCTAATAGAGATTTTATTTATCTATTTATTTATTGAGACCGAGTCTTGCTCTGTCACCCAGGCTGCAGTGCAGTGGCGATCTCGGCTCACTGCAACCCCTGCTTCCTGAGCTCAAGTAATTCTCCTGCCTCAGCCTCCCGAGTACCTGGGATTACAGGCATACGCCATCATACCCGGCTAATTTTTGTATTTTTAGTAGAGACGGGGTTTCACCATGTTGGGGCCAGGCTGGTCTTGAACTCCTGACCTCAGGTGATCCACCCGCCTTGGCCTCCCAAAGTGCTGGAATTACTCTGTCTCAAATCAAACAAACAAACCGATAGAATTAGGGAGCTCTATGAGTGTAGAGTTGCCCTACTAGTCCTGCATGGCTTCTAATGGACTCTATTTATGTGAAAGAGACAAATTTCCAGTTTAAGCCACTGTAATTTACATTTGTTGTTGTTGTTGAGATGGAGTTTCGCTCTTTTGCCTAGGCTGGAGTGCAGTGGTATGATCTCTGCTCACTGCAACCTCTGCCTTCCTGTTCCAAGTGATTCTCCTGCCTTAGCGTCCCAAATAGCTGGGATTACAGGTGCCCGCCACCATGCCTGGCTAATTTTTGTATTTTCAGTAGAGACAGAGTTTCACCATGCTGGCCAGGCTGGTCTCAAACGCCTGACCTCGTGATCTGCCTGCCTCGGCCTCCTAAAGTGCTGGGATGACAGGTGTGAGCCACCGCACCCGGCCTATTTGATCCACCTGCCTTGGCCTCCTAAGGTGCTAGGATTGCAGGCATGAGCCACCGCACCCGGCCTATTTGATCCACCTGCCTTGGCCTCCTGACGTGCTGGGATTGCAGGCATGAGCCACCGCACCCGGCCTATTTGATCCACCTGCCTTGGCCTCCTGAAGTGCTGGGATTGCAGGCATGAGCCACCGCACCCGGCCTATTTGATCCACCTGCCTTGGCCTCCTGAAGTGCTGGGATTGCAGGCATGAGCCACCGTGCCCGGCCTATTTGATCCACCTGCCTTGGCCTCCTAAAGTGCTAGGATTACAGGCATGAGCCACCGCGCCCGGCCTATTTGGAGTTTTCTAACAGTTGCTGGCAAGTGTGATTCTAACTAATAAGATTATTAGGCTGAACGTTGTGGCTTGCACCTGTGATGCTAGCACTTTGGGAGGCTAAAGCAGGTGGACTGCTTGAACTCCTGTTCAAGACCAGTCTGGGTAACATAGTGAACCTTGTCTCTACAGAAAATACAAAAATTAGCCAGATGCGGTTCTGCACACCTGTAGTCTCAACTGCTTGGGAGGCTGGGATGAGGCAAGAGAATTGCTTAAGCCCAGGAGTTTGAGACCAGGCTAGACAGCATAGTGAGACCCCATCTCTTAAAAAAAAAAATGGTTGGCCGGGTGCAGTGGCTCACGCCTGTAATCCCAGCACTTTGGGAGGCCAAGGCGGGCGGATCACAAGGTCAGGAGATCCTGGCTAACACGGTGAAACCCCGTCTCTACTAAAAATACAAAAAAAAATTAGCCGGGCGTGGTGGTGGGCACCTGTAGTCCCAGCTACTTGGGAGGCTTAGGCAGGAGAATGGCGTGAACCCAGGAGGCGGAGCTTGTGGTGAGCCAAGATGGCGCCACTGCACTCCAACCTGGGCGACAGAGTGAGACTCTGTCTCAAAAAAAAAAAAAAAGGTTATTAGCTTTGAAGGTGGAGGGGATTAGCAGGTTTTAAGTCAAGAAGACGAGGTGTGAAATAGTCTTCCCAGGGAGCAGGAGAGTAACTGGATAGGGAAAGTATAGTAAGATTGTCAGGCAGTGTGGGGTGCTCAGTTGAGATGCGTGTCACACATGTGAAGGGTGAGTGGATGTGGTTGTTTTTCTAGGGAAAAGGTTTGCTGCTTAGATGCAGGTGTGGAGTAGGCAGTTAGTTGGGTCAAACAAGGGTAGGTGGCCGGGCCTGGTGGCTCACGCCTATAATCCCAGCACTTTGGGGGATCGAGGTGGGCGGATCACCAGAGCTCAGGAGTTCGAGACCAGCTTGGCCAACATGGTGAAACCCCATCTCTACTAAAAATACAAAAATTAGCTGGGCGAGGTGGTGGGCTCCTGTAATCCCAGCCACTCAGGAGGCTGAGGCAGTAGAATCGCTTGAACCCAGGAGGTGGAGGTTGCAGTGAGCCCAGATCACGCCACTGCACTCCAGCCTTGGCAACAAGAGCGAAACTCTGTCTCAAGAAAAGAAAAGAAAAGAAAAAAGGGCTAGGTGTGGTGGCTCACGCCTATAATCCCAGCAGTTTGGGAGGCCGAGGCAGGTGGATCACAAGGTCGGGAGTTCGAGACCAACCTGGCCAACATGGCAAAATCCCGTCTCTACTAAAAATAGAAAATTAGCCGGGCATGGTGGCAGTTGCCTGTAATCACAGCTACTCAGGAGGCTGAGGGAGGAGAATCGCTTGAACCCGGAAGGCAGAGGTTGCAGTGAGCCGAGATTACACCACTGCACTCCAGCCTGGGAGACAGAGCGAGACTCCGTCTCAAAAAAAAAAAAAAAAAGAAAAGAAAAGAAAAATAGTAACTTGACAGTGGAAGAATCTGGCAGATGCCACGTTAACCAGGTGACTGAGGTCAGCCTCACCAGTGATGTCACAGTGACGCCACATGAGCCCTGCGGTGATGTAATGAGAAGCCTCCCCACACCCCAAACCCTCATCACGAGAGCACATCAGACAAACCCCAACTGAGGGACATTTTACCAAAGACTCATTCAATCTATAAAATTGAGCAGTGCTCCTCAAAACTGTCAAGATCATGAAAAACAGGGAAAGACTGATAAATTGTCACAGACCACAGACTAAAGAGACGTGATAGCTAAATGCAAAGTCGTATCTTGAATTGATTTCTGTAACAGATAGAGGATGTAGATGGAAAAACTAGTGAAATCCAAATAAAGCCTGGAGTTAGCAGTAATGTATCAAGGTTGGTTTCTTTTTTTTTCTTTTTTTTTTTTTTGCAACGGAGTCTTACTGTGTCACTGAGACTGGAGTGCAGTGGTGCTGTGTCAGCTCATTGCAACCTCCGTCTCCTGAGTTCAAGCAATTCTGCCTCAGCCTCCCGAGTAGCTGGGATTTCAGGCACCCACCACCATGCTAGTTTTTTTATATTTTTAGCAGAGATGGGGTTTCACCATGTTGTCCAGTCTGGTCGCAAACTCCTGACCTCAGGGGATCCACCCGCCTCGGCCTCCCAAAGTGCTGGGATGACAGGCGTGAGCCACCACGCCCGGCCCAATGTTGGTGTCTTAACTGTGACAAAGGAACCATAGGCATGGAAGACAGGCCGGGCTCAGTGGCTCACAACTGTAATCCCAGCACTTTGACAGGACAAGGCAGGAGGCTCCCTTGAGCCCAGGAGTTCAAGCCAGCCTGGGCAACATGGTGATACCTCGTCTCTACAAAAAAAAAAAATTTTTTTTTTTGAGACGGAGTCTCAATCTGTTACCCAGGCTGGTGGGCGCTGGGTGTGATCCCAGTTCACTACAATCTCCACCTCCTGGGTTCAAGTGATTCTCCTGCCTCAGTCTCCCCAGTAGCTGGGATTACAGGCATGCATTACCAGGCTGGGCTAATTTTTGTATTTTTTTTTTTTTTTTTTTTTTTTTTAGTAGAGACAGAGTTTCACCATGTTGCCCAGGCTGGTCTTGAACTCCTGACCTCAAGTGATCTGCCTGCCTCGGCCTCCCAATGTGCTGGGATTACAGGCGTGAGCCACCATGCCCAGCCAACTTTTTTAAATTAGCTGGATACAGTGACATGCCCCTGTGGCTGAGGTGGCAGGGTCACTTGAACCCAAGAGGTCAAGGCTGCAGTGAGCTGTGATTGTACCACTGCACTCCAGCCTGGACAACAGGATGAGACCCTGTTTTTTTTTTTTTGAGATGGAGTCCCACTCTATCGCCCAGGCTGGAGTGCAGTGGCGCGATCTCGGCTCACTGCAAGCTCCACCTTCCAGGTTCACGCCATTCTCCTGCCTCAGCCTCCCGAGTAGCTGGGACTACAGGCACCCACCACCACGCCCAGCTAATTTTTTTTGTATTTTTAGTAGAGACGGGGTTTCACCATGTCAGCCAGGATGGTCTTGATCTCCTGACCTTGTGATCCACCTGCCTTGGCTTCCCAAAGTGCTGGGATTCCGGGCGTGAGCCACCAAGCCCAGCCTTTTTGTTTTTGTTTTTTTTTGAGATGGAGGTTCTCTCTTGTTGCCCAGGCTGGAGTGTGATGGTGTGATCTTAGCTCACTGCAACCTCCGCCTCCTGAGTTCATGCATTTCTCCTGCCTCAGCCTCCTGAGTAGCTGGGATTACAGTACAGGCATGAGCTACCACGCCTGGCTAATTCTATATTTTTAGTAGAGACGAGGTTTCACTATGTTGACCAGGCTGGTCTCGAACTGCTGACCTCAGGTGATCTGCCCACCTCGGCCTCCCAAAGTGCTAGGATTATAGGCGTGAGCCACCTCGCCTGGCTGACCCTGTCTTTAAAAAAAAAAAAAAAAGGCCACCCTACTCCACCATCACTTGAGCTAATTAAATCTGCATGCAATGGGCCTATTTCCCAATATTGTCATATTCTGAGATATTCTGAGACACTGTGGATTAGGGCTTCAACACATTCTTATTTGGTGGCTGGGCATTTCATCCCATACCAGGCCCCTCCACATTTTTGCCTGCATCTCGTGGCCCAGAACCCAGCATCAGGTGCAGCTGTGTCTCCAGGTTGCTGTGGCAACGCCTCTCCGGACTCCTGCTGACAACGGCTCATCTTCCTCCATCCTCCTCGTGGGCTCCTTCATTCCCAGTCTCTGTTGACAGTCTCCTCAGGCCTCTGCTTGCCATGCCACCCAGTCCTGGAGCCAGTGCCACTGATTTTAGGTATTTGGTCCAGCAGCACCCCGCTTCCAGCTGCCAACTTCTATTTCAGTCACCTATCTGCTGTGTAAAATGTAGACGCTAGTAGCAACTTTTTTTTTTCTTTTTGAGATGGAGTCTTGCTCTGTCACCCAGGCTGGAGCACAGTGGTGCGATATCGGCTCACTGCAACCTCCGCCTTCCTGGTTCAAGCAATTCTCCTGCCTCAGCCTCCCAAGTAGCTGTGATTACAGGCATGTGCCACCATGCCCCGCTAATTTTTATTTTGTTTTGTTTTTGAGACAGAGTTTTGCTCTTGTTGCCCAGGCTGGAATGCAATGGCACGATCTCGGTTCACTGAGACCTCTGCCTTCCAGGCTCAAGCGATTCTTCTGCCTTAGCCTCCCTAGTAGCTGGGATTATAGGCATCCACCACCACGTCCAGCTAATTTTTTTGTATTTTTGTAGAGATGGGGTTTCACTATGTTGGCCAGGCTGGTCTTGAACTCCTGATCTCAGGTGATCCACCTCTCTCAGCCTCCCAAAGTTCTGGGATTACAGGTGTGAGCCACTGTGCCCGGCTAATTTTTTTTTTTTTTTTTTTTTGAGATGGAGTTTCGCTCTTGTTGCCCAGGCTGGAGTGCAGTGGCCATCTTGGCTCACTGCAACCTCCACCCCCCAGGTTCAAGTGATTCTTCTGCCTCAGCCTCCCAAGTAGCTGGGATTACAGGCATGCACTACCACGCCTGGCTAATTTTGTATTTTTAGTAGAGACAGGGCTTCAACATGTTGGTCAGGCTGGTCTCAAACTCCCAACCTCAGGTGATCTGCCCACCTCGGCCTCCCAAAGTGCTGGGATTACAGGTGTGAGCCACTTGCACCTGGCCTAATTTTTGTATGTTTTAGTAGAGACAGGGTTTCACCATATTGGCCAGGCTGCTCTTGAATGCCTGACCTTAGGTGATCTGTCCGCCTCGGCCTCCCACAGTGCTGGGATTACAGGCATGAGCCACCGTGCCCAGCCAGTAGCAACTTATTATTTATCCAATCGTTCAGGCTGACTGGCTCCATGGGGCAGTTCTACCCCAAGCATTGTAGCTGGGGTTACTTGTGTGACTGCATTTGGCTGGGAAGTCTGCTGGGGCTGGACCATCTGTAGCACCTGTCCCACAGAAACGCTCTGCGTGGCCTGTCCTCAACAGCCCCGTCGGAGCTCTTGCCAGCCGTAGCTGCAGGCATCCCAAAGTGAGCGAGAGCTCTGGAGTCACCCCACGGTGTGCGTGGTCACAGCCTTGGTTTGCACCATTCTTGCTGATGCCCACAGCCGGACCCAGGTCAATATCGGAGGGGGCACCTCAAGAGCTATGCCCGGAGGAACAATTCCTGGGGCTCCATGAGAGCAGTGGTCATAGGCAGAGAGACGTGGTGGGGCTGAAGGCTCTACTAAGTTTGAGGTGTTGGAGTGAGAGTACCAGAGTAGAGCAGCTGAGGGTGGGAGAGGGCAAGGAGATGATGGGGTTCCTGGAAGGAGCCTTGGGCCCCCCTGCAGGGTGAATAGGCATGAGAAGAAGCCCAGGACGGCTGGGCCAGGGTGAGGAGTAGAAACGGTTGTTGCAGAGGCACTGTCCCCAGGGACTTTTCAGCCAACAGGAGAGTGTGGAGAGGACCATCAGGCCCAAATGCCTTCAGGGAACCTGGGGTAGGGGAGCATGGGGGCTAGGGGGTGGAAGTGGGGACAGGAGTGTGAACTTGGCTGGAAAGATCACATTCCATTGGAGGGAGCAGAATAAAGCTCTGGGAAGGGACTCTGAGCCTGAGTTTGGAGCTCTAGGACATTTACAAGACTGCCCTAGGGATGGACATCTGTGGAGGGAGGGCGAGGAGGTCAGATGAGGCCGAGGGAGGAGTGATGGCCACCCAGGAGCAACAGCCCCTGCTGGCCCCCAAAGGCCTGAGCCGAGATCGCCCATCAAAGTTGTCCTGCCTCAGGCAGGAATGCCAGGGCCTCCATCAGTCACCAGGTGTGGCCACCCCTAGGAGGGTGTGGCCCTGGGCGAGGGGCTCTGCAGCTGCAGCCATCCCTCAAGGCTGCTGGTGACAAGACTCCCAGCAGCTGGGACAGCAGGAAGCCACACCACGGGCAGGTCCAGGAAGGTGAAGGTGGGGAGGCTCATGTTGCATCAGGAATTAGGAGGCTGCATAGGAGGCCGTCGACACTGGGCCTCCACTGTGCAGGCAGGTCAGTGCCCCCCGGCCACTTCCAGAGCCCTCCTCATATCACCCTGCTAGGAAAGAAGTGAGCCCAGCTGCCAGGAGTGCTTGCAGTGCTTAGGTGGGGCCCGGCTGCCCTCTGGTGGAAGCCCTTTCCTCCCCCTCCTCTGGAGTCACCTCCTCCGCCCCTGCCTCTTCCTCCCCCACCTCTTTCCTCCTCACATCCCCCGTCTCTGCCTCCTCCCAGGCCTCACTCTCAGGTTCCCCTAGCCTCTTCTCAATGTCTCCTTTATAACTTTATACCTGCCCCGAAGGACCATCCTGTAGGGCATGGAAGTATCCTGTGTCTCTGTAGGTGAGTGGGTTACAAGAGAATATGTGTTTTTAAAGCTGATGGAATTCTACATTTAAGATATTTTACATATGAAAATTGTATCTTCAGTTGGCCGGGTGCGGTGGCTCACGCCTGTAATCCCAGCACTTTGGGAGGCCGAGGCGGGTGGATCACAAGGTCAGGAGATCGAGATCATCCTGGCTAACACGGTGAAACCCCGTCTCTACTAAAAATACAAAAAAATTAGCCAGGCGTGGTGGCGGGCGCCTGTAGTCCCAGCTACTCAGGAAGCTGAGGCAGGAGAATGGTGTGAACCCGGGAGGCGGAGCTTGCAGTGAGCCGAGATTGCACCACTGCACTCCAGCCTGGGCAAGAGCAAGACTCTGTCTCAAAAAAAAAAAAAAAGAAAAGAAAAGAAAAAAAAAAAGAAAATTATATCTCCAGTTTAGAGAAATTAAGTGACCCCTGCCTAAAGCTGAAGGTCTGAGCAGGTCAGGCAGTTGGACCTCTTGGAAGGGGGTGGGATTTGGGCCCCTTCAGGGCTGCTGGCCTCTCTGCTATGCAGCCAGGGGGACACAGGAGACTGAGGGGTTGCCCTGCTGAAAGCAAGAAGGAGGCGGGGTCCAATCCTGTCTCCAGGCACCCCCAGCTCAAGCTGGGCTGGGCCCGAGTAGGAGCCTGAGGCCCAGCTCTGCAGCTCCTTAGCTGCACCTCCACCCTCGCTCATGTGCAGCACTCATGTCTTTATCAAGAGAAAATGGCCGTGTTGTTTTTTGTTTTTTCTTGAGACAGAGTCTCGCTCTGTTGCCCAGGCTGGAGTGCAGTGGTGCAATCTTGGCTCACTGCAACCTCCGTTGCAGTGAATTCCTCCTGATTTCAAGGAATTCTCTGCCTCAGCCTCCCAAGTTGCTGGGATTACAGGCGCCCGCCACCACACCCGGCTAATTTTTGTATTTTTAGTAGAGACATGGTTTCACCATGTTGGCCAGGCTGGTCTTGAACTCCTGACCTCCTGATCCATCTGCCTTGGCCTCCCAAAGTGCTGGGATTGCAGGCATGAGCACTACACCCGGCTACACCTGGCTAATTTTGTGTGTGTGTGTGTGTGTGTGTATGATTTGTTGTTGTTGTTGCTGAGGCAGAGTCTCGTTCTGTTGCCCAGGCTGGAGTGCAGTGGCGCAGTCTCAGCTCACTGCAACCTCTGCCACTCTGGTTCAAACGATTCTCCTGCCTCAGCCTCCCAAGTAGCTGGGATTACAGGCGCTTGCCACCACGTCTGGCTAATTTTTTGTATTTTTAGTAGAGATGGGGTTTCTCCATGTTGGCCAGGCTGGTCTCAAACCCCAGACCTCAGGTGATCCACCCACCTTGGCCTCCCAAAGTGCTGAGATTACAGGCACGAGCCACCATGCCCAGCCAATTTTTGTATTTTTAGTAGAGACGGGGTTTCACCATGTTGGCCAGGCTGGTCTCAAACTCCTGACTTCAAGTGATCCACCCACCTCAGCCCCCCAGAGTGTTGGGATTACAGGTGTGAGCCACTGCGCCCCGCCAAAGATGGCGTTTTGTGATGCCATGTCTGGGATTTGCTTCAAAATGATGAGGGAGTCGGGGAGGAAGCAAGATGCCTATAGGCTGTTTTTTTTGTCGTTTTTTGTTTTTCAGACGGAGTCTCACTCTGTCGCCCAGGCTGGAGTGCAGTGGCGCGATCTTGGCTCACTGCAAGCTCCACCTCCTGGGTTCACGCCATTCTCCTGCCTCAGCCTCCTGAGTAGCTGGGACTACAGGCACCCGCCATGACGCCCGGCTAATTTTCTTTTGTATTTTTAGTAGAGATGGGGTTTCACCGTGTTAGTCAGGATGGTCTCTATCTCCTGACCTCATGATCTGCCCGCCTCAGCCTCCCAAAGTGCTGGGATTACAGGCGCCCAGCCACCCATAGGCTGGTCTTTAGTGAAGGTGCTTATTGGGCAAGAGGGGAACCTGCATTAACTGGCTCTCTGCACATCTGTGCATATTTCATATTTTCTGTAATAAAACAAGAAAAAACCCTGAAATTTGCATTTTGTCCTTTAATTTGCATGTCTTTGATTCCTTTTTTTTTTTTTTTTTTTTAAAGACAGAGTCTAGCTCTGTTGCCCAGGCTGGAGTGCAATGGAGGGCAATGGTGCAATCTCAGCTCACTGGAACTTCTGCCTCCCGGGTTCAAGCAATTCTCCTGCTTCAGCCTCCCAAGTAGCTGGGATTACAGGTGTGTGCGCCACCACGCCCAGCTAATTTTTGTATTTTTAGTAGAGACGGGGTTTCACCACGTTGGCCAGGCTGGTCTCGAACTCCTGACCTCAAGTGATCCACCCGTTTTGGCCTCCCAAAGTGCTGGGATTACAGATGAGCCACTGCACCCAGCCAGCATGTGTGTGATTCCTAAGAAGATCTCTTATTTCTTCTGTAGTCAATCACCTGCTAAGCCCTTTGGAGTCTCAGCATCTTTGTTCTGTAAAAAGTTCATTTATACCAGTTATTTCTCCCGACAATCAGAATGTTAACCTGTTGTTATGTTTAGTGCAGGTGTTTTCTGGCACTGACACTTGCCCTCGCTCTCTGCTTCTGGTTTTCACACGCACATTTCCACTTGTGCTGCAACCTTGCTCCTGTGGGTCCTCCAAAGCTCCTGCCCAGCAGGGACCAAGTCTGCCCACCGGCTTTTCTGGGCCACTCTTCACGCCCTTGTCCCCATGCCTACCCCCCAACCCCACCAGAGCCATTTTGGAATACAGACCCACCCCCCATCCTGAAACCTTCCCCAGGGGCTCCATCCCCAGCGACCCCACGTCCTCCCTGCTGAGGGCCCTCCTTCCATGCTGTCCCTCCCCACAGTCCTCTCTGGGGGCTGCTTTCTCTCTCCCCCAAATACTCCTGTGCTCCTGGCTGAGGCCTGCAGACCCCAATTCCCTCCTCTCCTTGAGCGTCCCAGCTGGAGCACGTGTCATTGGCCACCAACCACCCAGCAGCAGCTCTCACTATGGCTTCGTCCCCACCCATCGCTGCCTGAATTCCTGGTGGTCTAATGTTCTCGTGGATGAACCACTGCAGACTGCCTGTCCCTTCCAAGCCTTGATCTCTTCTCCAAGTCAATGTCCTCATCTTCTAACCCAACTGTGCTCCATCACCACCAGTAACTGCATCCCATACCTGTCACCTCCATTCAACACCCTATTCTCTGCCCATCGCTTCTGTCCAGCAGGGTGGACCCTCGGATCTGGGCTGTCCACTTATTTCCTGGGTTGGAGCCTCAATAGGGCAGGGGTGGGTGAGAATGCAACTGCAGGATCTGAGGGTGGGCACACCAGGGGCTCTGGCTTTGCTGAGGGTGGGGTGCTGGAGACACAAGAGTGGGGACCCCTGACCCTTATGGCTGACCTTTCCACAACATGGGGCCTGGGAGGGGCAGGGAGAGGTGCGGCCAGCAGCAGAGGGCACGGAGGGTTCAGAGCCAACACTGCACCCACCCGAAGGGACAAGGGGGCAGAACTGGGGCTTGCATCAGGGCGGCAGGAAGAGACTCCCCAAGAGGGGCTCTGCAGAGAGTGGCTAGGGGGACCAGGACTTTAATTGGCTGGGGACCAAGGCAGCCTTGCCTGGGAACCCTGACCATCTCCTCTCCTGCAACAAAGCCTCCCAAGGCCCCAGCTCTCAGTAAGAGACTCGGGGAGGCCTCCCATGCAGGAGGGCTGACACTTTTCCAAAGCGTGAGAATCGTCCACTGTCCTCCTTCAGCCTCTCCTAGCTGGGGCCCAGGACTGGGGCACCACAGCGACCTCCTGATGCTGGGGGTGAGGGGGAAGGGGGGGGATCAGGATGCTGGTGGGGGGGCGGGGCGAGGAGGCCCAAGTAATTGCGCCCGGGTCGCATGTGCGCTCCGCACCCCGGTCGGTGCAGACTGATGGCCAAAGCCTGGACCCAGCTGTCCCTCCCCGCCAGGGGTCCCGGGGGGCTGCGGGCTCCACCCGAGCGGGAGCAAGGGCCGCCCCAATGGTTCCCGCGGGAGCGCCTGGCCACGGGACACATGTGTGCCGCTGTGATGCCTCTTCCGTCAAGGGGACTGGGGGCAAAAGGGGCGAGGAGCTTGACAGAGAGAGGCAGGTATGTGCACAGAGGCAGGAGAGGAAGGGGCTGAGAGGGTGGATGGAGGGACAAGGAAACGGGGTGAGTGCAGGGCGACAGGAATGGCGCGGGGAGAAGGGACGAAGTGGGAGGAGCAGAGGAGAGAAACGGGGGGTGGGGGGACAGGGCAGACGAACGGAAGAATGGGGGAAGGGGACAGAGTTGGGGGTCGGAGGACCCGGAGAGTGGGGACAGAGAGGCAAGAATACTAGGACGAACGGAGGAGGCCAAGGATGGAGTCGAAGGACAGAGTTGAGGGCGGGGACAGGGTCCGGGAGAAGGCGGTGAGCGCTGGGTCATGAGGGGATCGCGCCTGGCACGTCCCGCCGGCGCCCCGAGGGTCTGCCGGGTAATTAGGCCTCGGTCCAGATGGCCCCCCAGTCCCGCAATCAAAATGTTAATTGGCCCCACGCCTCCGGCTGTGCCTTGGCCCGGCCCCCCCCTGGGAGGGAGCCAGGACCCGCGCGGCGCGGCCGAGGGGGATCCCGCCCCCGCCCCCACCGCGAGCCTAGCCGGCTGCCGCTCGGAGATAAGGGGGCGGCCGCGCCCCGCCCCCACCCCTCGGGAGCGCCTGCCACGCAAGATGAATGTCCCGCCGCTGCCGGGGCCGGGGCGGCTGGCACAAAGCGGGTCCGTGGTCTCCGCCGCACCCCCCGCGCGGGCGGGCCGGGTCACACCCACCCGGGCTCCGCGCGGGGCCGGGCGGCCGGGGGCGGGGCGCTGAGCTCAGCAAGTGCAGCGCGCCCCCGCAGGCCGCCTTCCCCGGGGCCCGCCCGCCGCGCGCTCCCAGCCGCTGTCCGCGGGTCCGCCCCGCGCAAGGTCATTTTGCGCCGCAACGAGCGCGCTCCAGTATCGCACGCGCTCCCGGCACACCCGCGCCCGGACGCTCCCCGGGGCCGCCCCCGCGACCTTGGTCCCCAGCGGCAGCGGGGCGCGTGGGAGCGCGCTCGGAGCCCGTAGACCCGGACCACCGGGCGGGGCGGGTGAGGGGACAATGGCGGCGCCAGGCCCTAATTGGGGACAGAGGCACCCGCGCGCGGCCATTGTGCGGCCCGGAGCCCCGGAGCCCCCGCGCCCGGCGCCCCGCCATTGGCCGCTGAGCCTGACGTCATGGGGGCTGCAAACGCTGGGCGGGCGGCCGAGGAAAGGGTTATCCGCCTGGTTGCGGGGCTGCCGTGGGGAGCTGCAGCCGCGCGGAAGGGCGGAAAACCCCCAAAGCAGCAGAATTTCTGGAGCAGGGTCGTGGCAGCCCCTCTCCAGCTCCACACCCGGCTCGCAGCGACGCCGCTGCGCCGCACACCCGCCCGGGGGGAGAGAGGCGGGGGCGGGTAGGCCCCTCCAGCGTGCACGGGGTCAGCCGGGGTGACCGAGCGGCGGGAGCCACTGCGGCACAGGGCGCGCGCTGCGCTTTCGCTGCCTCAGCACTTGCTCCTTCGGCTCCCGCCTCCCCCGCCCGCCCCCGCAGATCCCGCGCCCCAGGCCCCGAGCGAGGCAGGCGGGACTGGGGTCCTCCCTACGTTCCTCCCCACAAGACCCCGAGTCCGGGGCGCTTGGGTCCCAGGCCTGGCTCCATTTCTCCCCACACGCCCGACAATGCTGCTGGCTGCCGGGCCGCGGTTCCCCGAGCCGCGCGGGGGAATTCCCCACTCGCGCAGGCTGAGGCATCCCCGGGACCCCTCCCAGGAGACCCAGGCCGGGGCTCGGCCCAGCGCAGCCATTTCCGCCGGCCTCTCCCCCACCTCCCTCCCCCTCCCCCAGCTCCTGGGCTTTAAAAGCCAGAGGCTGGGCCGGGCCGCAGGCAGAGGCGGCTGCGGGCTCTGGAGGCCGGGCCCAGGAGCAGTCCGAGCGCCGAGCCCCGCCCCCGGAGCCCCTGTCCCTCCCTCCCTCCCTCCCTCGGCCCGCCCTCCCTGCGCACCCCTCCCCCCAGGACCCCCGCCCCCCGCCCGCCGCCGCCGCCGCCGCCGCCGCCGCCGTCGCCACTGCCGCTCGCTCCGGCTGCAGAACAATAAAGCAAGCCTCCCAGAGACCCCCGCCGAGGACCCCTGCCCGGCGGCCAAACCCCCGCGGACCGCCCCTCTCCGCCCGCGCCGGTTGAGCGCGCCCGGGCGCTGGCCGCGGTGCTGCCCAGGCCGGCGCTGGCCGCGGTGCTGAAGCTGCCGGCGCTGCCGCTGCCACCGCGTTCTCCGGGCCCGGCGCCGCCGCCCCCGGGGGCATGGGGGGCCGCTGACTGAGGCTCCGCCGCGGCGGCGGGGGGGGGGAGGGGAAGGGGGCCACCGAGCCGGGCCAGCCCTGCACCCACTCGCAGCCTCCAGGCCCGGGACGGAGCCGCTCCCCCCCTCTCCGCCCCCCCAGCCTCCTCCCCCGCCTGTCCAGGGGCGGCACTGCGGGCTGGGAAGCCGGGACCAGAGGAGGGAAGGAAGGAAGAGGAGAGGAGAGAAGAGGAGAGAAGGAAGGAAGGATTGAAGGAAGGAAGGAAGGATTGAAGGAAGGAGGAAGAAGAGGGATCCGGAGGGGCAACGGAGGAGACGCAGGGCAGCAAGGAGAGAGGACACCACTCGCGCGGCAGCATCCAAAGGCCAGAGTGGGGACCCGCGCTGCCTCCGCCGCTCCTCGGATGGTGACGGGGCCCTGCCGCCGCAGCCCCCCCAAGCCCCGGCTCCGCAGGCCCACAGCGCCGGAGCCCCGCAGGAATCATGCCCAGGTCCTTCCTGGTCAAGAAGGTCAAACTTGACGCGTTCTCTTCGGCCGACCTGGAGAGCGCCTACGGACGCGCCCGCAGCGACCTCGGCGCGCCACTGCACGATAAAGGTGAGCGCTGGTCTGAGACCAGGGCGCGGGGCCTGGGGCTTTGCTGGAAGCGGTGGAGGGCCAGAGTGTGGGGGCGGAGGGCAGGGCCCGGGGAAACAGACTGAAGGGAACCAGAAACGGCAAGAGTCTGTGGCTGGAGCCTGGACGGTAGAGGGGAGGAAGGGGAACACAGAGGCCAAGGCTGGGCAGGGAGAGTGTCGACGTTGGACAGAGGGTGGGGAAGAGGATCAGGAACTGAGGTACCCAAACGCACACATGGACCCACATCCTGACCCATGCTGGGACAGACACAGCCGCATGGGCGCTGCCATGACGGGACCCAGCCATGCCGGCACACACAGACCTACACTCAAGAGACCAGGGCCGCCTCGCCACCCTCTCCTCTTCCTTGACTGCACCAGGACACCTGCTAGGGTTAGCTGGGGAATGCAGGGAGCTCCAGGGAGTAGGCAGGGGGTCCAACAGGGCCGCCCACCTGTCAGAGCAGAGGGCCAGCAGAGGCAGCAGCAGTCTCTTCCCTGAAGCCTGGGTCAGGGAGAGGAAGCAGGGAGGAGGCTGTGAGCAAGGGACGCCCAAGGTGTGGGAGGCAGGGGGAGGCTCTTTGTGTAAGGGTGCCCAAGTTCAAGGACAACTGTCAGCATGCAGGAGAGGGGGACAGGAGTGCCAGCAGCATGGGGTGGCAGAGCAAGTGTGACCTGCAGGAGTGTGAGCCTGTGTGGGTCCATGTGACTGTGTGTGGCCATGTGACCGTGTGCGCTTGTGTGTGACCCTGTGTGTGTGTGTGCTTGCCTGTGTGCCACTACATGGGACCATGTGACTCTGAGGCCGCTGTGCACCATGTGACTTGAGAGTGTGTCCGGGGTGACTGCATGTGTGACCCTGCGTGAGTGAGGAGGTGGTGAGTTCGGCACATCAGTGTGCAGCCCACCCTGTGAGGGCACACAAGGGCTGATCATGCTGGGAGACTGGGTGTAGCCCTGAAGGAGGCAGAGCGTCGCGAGGGGCGTGCATTTGTGACTTTGAGGTTATGAGATCCATCTTGTGCCTGGGGAGCAACTGCAGCTACCGGTATAAGTGATGCTGCCCTCCTGCAGCTCGTCCCTGTGAAAGTGGACGCCCTGGCCCTCTCTGCACAGTTCAGGGGCTTGGGAAGGCCCTGAAAGGGGTTAGGGTGTGAGCAGGAGAGGGCAATGTTGAACAGGGTAGGACCCAAGGGTGCAGGATGGTGAGAGGGAGTTCGGAGGAGAAGCAGAGTGCATGGAGGAGCAGGGAGGGCAGGGTCAAGTCCAGTGGGTGGCCGGAGAGCTGAGGGAGGTGCTGGTGAGGCCGGAGGGAACTGGGGGAGGGAGACGTCTTCAGGGCTTGTTGGAGGAACCAGAAGGCCAGAGGGGGTCAACATCAAAATGGAGCGCACGTTCTGCAGGCCAGAGGGAGAGCCGGCCAGGACCCCGGAGAGGTGGGACAGACGGGGTCCCTGGGCCGGCAGTCCTGGCTTTGTGCGCCGCGGGTCTGCAGTGTGTTGCATAATCAGGGAAAACTGCTGAAGTGGGGAGAACCCGAGGGGGAGGGGAGGGTGGGTGGGGGAGGAGGGAGAGGGAAGCGCCGCCCCTCCCCCCTGACCTTGAGGCTCCGCGGAAGGGGGGCAGCCGCGCCCGAAGACGCGCCTCTCTCCTCCTCTCTGCGAGGGTGGGGCGGCGGGGGCGGAGCGTGGCCCGGCCCTGTCTCATCCTCTCCTCCCCTCTCTTCCCCTCCCTGCTGTCTCCATCCTCCCTGCCCGGCGGTCCCTCGGCCTCCTCTCCTTTGTCCTCCTCCCTGTTCGCCTCTCTCCCGGACCCGGGTCTCCCGGTCCGCGTCTGCTGTCTCCCGCCCCCCCATCCCCCGTGTGTGTCCTGCCGCCGCCCCATTCCCTTCCCGCTGTCCGTCCGCCTCCGCCCGCAGGGTACCTCAGCGACTACGTGGGGCCCTCGTCCGTCTACGATGGCGACGCCGAGGCTGCGCTGCTCAAAGGGCCGTCGCCGGAGCCCATGTACGCAGCAGCTGTGCGTGGAGAGCTGGGTCCGGCGGCTGCAGGGTCTGCGCCGCCGCCCACCCCGCGCCCGGAGCTGGCCACCGCTGCGGGCGGCTACATCAACGGCGACGCGGCCGTCAGCGAGGGCTACGCGGCGGACGCCTTCTTCATCACCGACGGGCGCTCGCGGCGTAAGGCTTCCAATGCCGGCGCTGCCGCCGCTCCCTCCACAGCCTCGGCGGCGGCCCCCGACGGCGACGCCGGAGGCGGGGGCGGGGCGGGCGGGCGCAGCTTGGGATCCGGGCCGGGGGGCCGGGGCGGCACGCGCGCGGGGGCAGGCACCGAGGCGCGCGCGGGGCCAGGGGCCGCAGGTGCTGGCGGCCGGCACGCGTGCGGCGAGTGCGGCAAAACATACGCCACGTCGTCGAACCTGAGCCGCCACAAGCAGACGCACCGCAGCCTGGACAGCCAGCTGGCGCGGCGCTGCCCGACGTGCGGCAAGGTGTACGTGTCCATGCCGGCCATGGCCATGCACCTGCTCACGCACGACCTGCGCCACAAGTGCGGCGTGTGCGGCAAAGCCTTCTCGCGGCCCTGGCTGCTGCAGGGCCACATGCGCTCGCACACCGGCGAGAAACCCTTCGGCTGCGCGCACTGCGGCAAGGCCTTCGCCGACCGCTCCAACCTGCGCGCGCACATGCAGACGCATTCGGCCTTCAAGCACTTCCAGTGCAAGCGCTGCAAGAAGAGCTTCGCGCTCAAGTCCTATCTCAACAAGCACTACGAGTCGGCCTGCTTCAAGGGCGGCGCCGGAGGCCCCGCGGCTCCTGCGCCGCCACAGCTCAGCCCTGTGCAGGCCTAGGGCGGCGGGGCCTCCCCCAGCCAGGTCGGCTCTCAGCAATACGGCCCCCCAGGGAAGTCTTCGCTGGCGTCCGGGTGGAGGGGCCGGAGGGCGGGCCCCTCCTCACAGCAATAGGGGGAGGGGGGCCCGGTCCCACCCCGCCCCGCCCGCCAGGGGCCTTGCCGGCCCCTTCAAGCAATAGGGTCCCGAGGGGAGACCCACCCCGAGCCCCCTCCCCTCCCCTCCAGGGTGCCCCCGGCTTTCTCCCAGCAATAGGGTCGACGAGACCTAGAACCGAACCTCATCTCCGAGTTGGGTCTCTGAAGACGGGGGTGAGGTGAGGTAGGGAGCGCCCTCCTTCTCCCGCCTCTGCGCCCCTGGATCGCGTCGCAGGGACTCAGGTCTTCCCCACCCCTTCCCAAGCCTTCTAGCGCAGGGCCTGCGGCCCAGACGTCCAGGGAGCCGGCCCCTCCCCGGCAGCAGGCCGGGGCGGAGCAGGAGCGGGCGGGCCTGCAGGGACGCCCCTGCCTAGCAGCCTTCGCGGAACTCCCGGCAGTGTTAGACGCGTTGTGGGTCGGGGAGAGGGGCGGACGGCGGCACCCCCTCCCTCGGGTTGCTTCTGGGGCCTCAGTCGGAGCCGCCCTCCTACCCTCGCCTCGCATCCTCTGCCAAATCCGAATTCTTCCAGCCCAGCTTCCCGGGCTCTGTCCTCCATATCGAATAATAATGACACATATCGAATCGCATGGACTTATCCGACCTCCTCAGACCCCGCTTCCGCCCTGCCCCGGGCCCCCACCCCCCACCCCCGTACCCCAGGCATTCGTGTTGGAGGACGGATTCCCGGGGCCGGCAGGCAGGCCTGGGCGCTGCCCTCTACACACCTCTGTCTTCGCTTTGCGGGTAAAGCCCCCTGGGGGGGTTGCGGACGCGTCGGGTTTCTTTTTCTGTATTTGTACGTTTTATTTATGAACGGATTGCACTCGGGTCAGGGAGGGGGCGCTGAACCCCCATCTTGCCCGCCGACGCCGGGGGCCTGGGATGTCCGGGATTACTTTCCACGCCCCGAGGCCCGCCCCTAGCTGGGAGCCTCTAGGGAGCCTCAGGCCCCGCCTCTCCGAGGCAGGCCCCTCCCCTGAGACCCAGGCCCCGCCCCTGAGACCCAGGCCCCGCCCCCACTCGGTTGCCAACTTTCGCCCGTCTATGCCAAAGCCTCGGCGGCGACCCCGCCCCAAGGGCCCGCCCCATTGGCCGCCGCCTTTGTGACGTCACTGCATGCAGCCCCACCCCTCCTCCCGATCCTACCCGGGGCTGCCCGCTCCCCCTCCCTCTTAGGTAGTCCGAAGCCGACTATAGAGCAATAATGCGCACTGCATGCGAAGCTGCCGCCGCCTCTAGAGTTACTGAGAATCAGGTATCCCCTCGCCCTACCCACCCCATAGGCCCCTAGATCAGGGACGCTGCGCGGGGCCGGCCGCGCAGACTTTCTCCCCACCCCTCCCCGACCCCCACGGCAGAGCCCGGCGGCTGTAATGGTTCCATGGGCGGGGGTGGGGTGGTTGCCCCCAAGACCCCTCCTTCAGGCATTAATCATTCACTGACCGTTCATTGAGCACCTACTATGTGCCAGGCCAATTGCTGAGTCCGCCAGGAGCGCAGCCACCTGCTGGGAGGTGTGTTTGCAGGACAGGGGTCCAACCGGCTTGGGTGGGCCAGGGAAGAACGGCAGATGCAGAGAGACCAGGTCCCTAGGTTCACATGCCCCCTACACTCCTCCCCACCTCAACCAGTCCCTGCTGGGCACAACTGGGCTCTACCTTTGAGTTAGGCCTTTTGACTCCAGCTGAGGGGGACAGATCCAGGGCTCCTGGGCCCCCACACAGGTGGCCACTTCTCTGATCCTCTGGCCAACACACATCTGCCATGTCCAGCCAGGGGCAGAGCCATGGCTGGAGAAGAAGGTGCCAGCTGTAGCCTATGGTGTGGCCAGCCTCACCCCCAGCAGCAAGCGTGGCTGCCCCCACAAGGATGACCCACCGCTCTGCACAGCAGTGCCCACATCCAAACACCCTACACAACCAGGTGTGGTGCCTGCACAGCTCCCAAGCTGGGGCCTGCCCACCTGTGCCGCATGCACACGCACACACAGGCGCCCCCACCTCACCCCACCCCATACTCCTGTCTACCTACCTAAGGAGAAAGCTGGAGGGCTGTGGGCCCGTCAGGGTCTCCTGCTTCCCCCTACACCCCGCCGCCGTGGAAAGCCATGGGCCCCCTCCCGCCCCCATAACTAAGCAGCACAATAACCGACTTAGCGAATTCAGGTAGAAGGAACGTTTAGGTAGCACCTATTTTGTACTGATTCTACAAGTAGGGCCCGAGGTGCGGGGGCCCTCGGGTGGGGGCTGCGGCCGCCGGCCCGCCCGCCCCCACCCCCGCCTGTGCCCCGCCGCCTTGTACATATTCCCACCCGGAATAGGCCGGGATTTTTACTCGGGCCGTGCCCCTCTTCCGCCCCCATTTGGGGCCAGGCCGGCCGGACAGACGGACGGACGGACAGACCTCCTTCCTAAGCACAATAGCACCAGCTCCCCGGAGCACCGCACCTCCACAAGGAGAATAAATGCCACTCTTGATAGAATTTGGAGTGTCGGGCTGATGTGTCCTGGGCTGGGCCCACGCTGTTGGGTGGCTGGGAGGGTCTTCCCAGTCTGGCAGTACCTCAGAGGCTGGTGCTGCAAGGGTCAGCCTGAGGCCTTTCACAAGACGGCCCTCTTCTTCCACTGGGGAGGGCAGGCTTGGCAGGCCCAACCACAGGAGCATCAGGTCTGAAGGCAAAGTAGTTGGCATTTCCCCTGGGGTAGGTGGATCTGCTCCACACCAGGAACAGGAGCACTAAGGGGTTCCAGTCTAAAGTCAGGCCAAGCCCACGGTTGGACCAGAGTGGGCAGGGTAGGTATAGTAGGAGCTGCTGTTCCCCAGCCTGGGTGCCTTCGCTCTTCTCTCCCTGAAGGAGCTTTATGCTGTGATGGAAGGCCTGATAGCCACCTCAAGCCCTCTGAGATGCTGTTGCAGGAAATGGGGACAGTGGAGAGTTCGAGGTCTGGCCCTTTTCCTGTGGCCTGCTGCCCACATTCTGACCCCCAGGCTTCCCAGATATGCTCCCCCAGTGTCTGCGGATGCCTCCATGGATAGCTGGGTTGGACCGGTTCCAGGGAGGAGGTGCCCAGGGGGCAGAGAGGCTTCTGCAACCATCGCCCAAGGGCTCTAGACAGAATGAGTAGTGGAGGAGATAAGGGACAGGGACCCTTTGCCCAGCAATGTCCCCTGGTAACCAGGTAGGCAGGCATGAGCCGAGAGGCCCAAAGTCTTCGGGCACATACATTCAAACCAGGTCAGTCCTAGATCCAGGGCCAGCAAAGCTGCCCACACCCTAGCAGGGACAGGGGACAGACCTGCCCAGACTCCACTAGGGTGGAGAGCAGGGGAACCAGGTCTGCAGCATGTCATGGCCTGTGTGCCTGGCACTTGGAGGAGCTGTGGTGCAGGTGGGTGCTCTCTTTGGGAGAGCACTACCAGCAATGACAATGGCAGACAGCAATGGCCAGGAGGAAGGCTCCTAGCCTCACTCCTTCCAAAGGACTCCAACAGCGACTGGCTGTTTCTACTTCTCCAGGATTCTGATGCGTAGAGTGGGTGGAAGGATGGAGGTGGCCTCCCTGAGGCCTGGGATGAGCTCGACCCCCCAGTTCCTCCCAGCCACAGACACAAGTTTCCCTCTGAATGAGCAGCACAGGCCATAGACCACCACTGGCTGTGAACTCTCCTGGGACCCTTGCTTCTCACAGGCCTTCTTGGCCCACCCATGGCCCCTAGGCCCTGGGATCAGCCTGAGGCCCCAACCCACTTCCAGCCCTTTATTCCACTAGCCCTGGAAGGCAACTCGCTTCGGGCTTGGGCCCCCTCATTTGTTGCTGCCCCCAGCAGGGTGATCTGCATCATGCTTTCCTCGATGACCCAGCCATACACACCCTTGTCCCCAACCAACCTCACCTACCCTGACCATTCCCCTCACCCTAGATCCCAGGGTATAGGGCCTGTCTGGGCAGGGCTTCACCCACCTCTGGAGCTGCTGCCCCGCCACGCCCCCACCCCCGGTGGCAAAGCCCTTCCTTAATGGCCCGCCCACAGCCAGTGCTTTCCCCATTGGCTCCAAGCCTGGCTCTGCTCACCAGGCCCGACCCATCCTCCCTGGTGGTCCAGTCCACCCTCCCATTGTCTTTCTCCTGTGGCCACTTGCCGGCTTTGAGTTGGGACGCGACCACAGGTTGAGTCGTTGATCTCCTCTGCCTAGCATGAGGTGCTCCGTGGCCAGGTCCAGACCTCTCTGAGCTTGCTGTCAGTCCATACTCAGACAGGTCTGGGCCTACCTGGCCACAGAGTGTGTCTGCCAGCGACTGCATTCAACAAATGAATATTCTGAGAGACTGGGTAGGAGATGGGGCTGGTCCTGACCGACCAAGGCCCATGTGTGAGGGGCTCTTGGGTCCAGTGAGGGCGGCCCCACTCGGCAGGCTACACAAAGGGCATCTGCCAGGTAGCTCCAGCCTGCCTGATACCTGGTTGGCAGCAACCCACAGCGGCCTGTGGTGACAAGAATATGTCACCAGGGGGGCAACCAAGGGGGCAGCCCTGCTGGCCACTGTTGGTGGAGGTGGTGGAAGAGGACGGAGCTCAGAGGCGAGGCTGTGACCAGCCCACGGGAGAGGACCCCACCTCAGGAGGAGCACCTGTTTGCTTCCAGAGAAGTGCTGCTTGCCCCTGCTCACCCCAGAGGAATGAAGGTGTTTCTAGAGTCAGAGTCCTCAGTGAACCCTGGCATCCTGAGATCCAGGATGTTCTCACTCCATGCCCTGTGCAATATGCACACCAAGCCAAGGTGGGCCGCAACTGTGGCTGTTACAGTTGATTAGTTGCTTCATTTAACATACAAGATGTCTGGGGCAGTGGCTCATACCTGTAATCCCAGCACCTTCAGAGGCCGAGGTGGGAGGATTGCGTGAGGCCAGGAGTTCGAGACCAGCCTGGGCAGAATAGCGAGACCCCCATCTTTAGAAAAAATAACAACAGGCCAGGCGCGGTGGCTTGCGCCTATAATCCCAGCACTTTGGGAGGCCGAGGTGGGCGGATCACGAGGTCAGGAGATCGAGACCAGCCTGGCCAATATGGTGAAAGCCCGTCTCTACTAAAAACAGAAAAATTAGCTGGGCGTGGTGGCACGCGCCTGTAGTCCTGGCTACTCGGGAGGCTGAGGCAGGAGAATCGCTTGAACCCAGGAGGTGGAGGTTGCAGTGAGACGAGATCGCGCTACTGCACTCCAGCCTGGCGACAGAGTGAGACTGTCTCAAAAAAAGAAAAAAGAAAACAAAAAACAACAGGGCGGTTGCACAGGCCGTGCAAATGCACAGAAGCCTCTTGAGTCCCGGCGATCCAGCGGCCCAGACTTCTGACATCCTGGAGAGGCTGGCCCACGTTGGAAACTGGGAGGCCCTGAGAGTTGAGGGACGTGGAGCTCCTTGTGGAGAGAGTGGGTGGGCTGAGAAGACACCACCAAGGGGCCTGCGCCCTCGCCCTCGCCCTCGCCCTCCTCTCGCCGGGCTCTGCAGGCGGGGAGGTGGAGAGCCTGGGAGTCGCGTGCAAGGCAGGCGTCCCGGTGACGCAGGGCCTGGTGCATTTCTCCAGCTTGGTCTTCTGACCTGGCCCTTGTCTGACGTCCCCCTAAGGCGAAGAAAAGCAGGTTCCTGCCGGGGTAACCAGAGGGCTCGCGGAGCAGAAGCGCGCCAGGGACGTTACTGTAAGCTGCGTGCGCAGAAACCAACGCGCTGGGTGGCGGGCGACGCGAGCCGCCGCGGACACCGGCCCGGACAGCTGGACCGTGGCGCACTAGGCGCTTCCTAAATGATTGCCCGGAGTGACTCGCCGAGACCCCGTGTGTACACAAGTGGGACGAGGGGCGGGCGCACAGCGGCCAGGAAGTCGGGGCCCAGCGCACCCCTCAGCGGACCATCCCGCTCCGTGGGGCCGGACAGGACCCCGGGACCACGCGGGAGCGATGCAAGGTCCGTTCCCGCTGCGCGCACTTGCGGCCCGCAGCCCCGGCCCTGGGAGCTGCCACGGCTCCCAGGGTGCTCTGCGCCGGTGCGGCCGCGGCGACTACGACTCCCAGGGTGCTCTGCGCCGGCGCGCCCGCGGCGACTACGACTCCCAGGGTGCCCTGCGCCCCGTCAGCCTCTCCAGGCCCCGCCTCAGGTCGGCCGCGGACTACAAATGGACGAGAGAGGCGGCCGTCCATTAGTTAGCGGCTCCGGAGCAACGCAGCCGTTGTCCTTGAGGCCGACGGGCCCGACGCGGGCGGGTTGAACGCGCTGGTGAGGCGGTCACCCGGGCTACGGCGGCCGGCAGGGGGCAGTGGCGGCCGTTGTCTAGGGCCCGGAGGTGGGGCCGCGCGCCTCGGGCGCTACGAACCCGGCGGGCCCACGCTTGGCTGCGGCCGGGTGCGGGCTGAGGCCATGGGCGACCGCGGCAGCTCCCGGCGCCGGAGGACAGGGTCGCGGCCCTCGAGCCACGGCGGCGGCGGGCCTGCGGCGGCGGAAGAGGAGGTGCGGGACGCCGCTGCGGGCCCCGACGTGGGAGCCGCGGGGGACGCGCCAGCCCCGGCCCCCAACAAGGACGGAGACGCCGGCGTGGGCAGCGGCCACTGGGAGCTGAGGTAGCGGAGCGCCTGACCCCCTAACCTCTGACCCAAGGGCCCCGCGACTTTCCGGGGTTGGCCGAAGCGCGAGCTCCGAGTCCGAGAACATGGGCCCTGGGCTAAGCGGGGATCGGTGTGCCCTATGGGCCCTGTGGGGAAACTGAGGCTTGGGGAGAGTCACCTGACAAGGTCACTGGGTAGGGGCTCTGGAGCTGGCCTTGGCCAGGCAGAGGGGAGCCGGCAGGTGTCCCGCATCCAGATCCTCTTGGGTCTGTGCATCCTCAGGGGCTCCTGAGGAGCTTTTCGAGGGGCGGGCTGGTGGGGGCCCGGCCCTGGACAGTGTCCCCTTATATGGAAGGAGTCAGATAAGATCTGGGCAGTTTGTGGTGATAGGTTCCTTCTTGGTGCTATGAGCGGTGCCTTGCGGGTAGGAAAGGCTCCCAGAGGAGGGCTGGCCTGCCAGGGAGGGGGCCAGAGGAGCCCAGGCCTGTCCGAGGACAGGGGAATCAGCAGCTGCCCCGGACAAGGGGCAGTGTTAGAGGCGTTCTTGTCCTTGCAGACCCTTCTGAGAGTGGCTGCGTGGCCCATTCATTGCTCCAGTGGTTAGGCTGGCCTGGAGCCCTGCCGATGTTGCCAGAGCCAGCGTCTGTTGTAGGGACAGAGAGTTGGGTTCTGTGTTGGGACTTCCATCCTCCAGGTGGGGAGTGGGGTATGGGGGTGGTGGACACACCTGCAGGCGTGTGCCCTGCTCAGCTGGATGACTGACAGAGAGGGGTGGAGGGAGAGAACCATGGCCGATGGGAAGGACTTGGCCAGCCTGGGCATTGGCTTCCTCCACCAAGCTGGCCTTGAGCAATCCCCTTGCCACCCTCCATCCCCCCTTTATGGCCTTTACCCTGGCCCAGGGGCCCTCAGGGCTTTGTTTTAGAGAGCAGCTGAGGGCCTAGAGGTTATCAAGGCAGAAGTGGGCTGATTTTGGACATGTAGTTGGCAATGATTTGCTCTCTCAGTGAGCAAGAACAGAGCTTTCCTTCACGGGGCACCATGGGGAGGGGGTTGGGGGAGGGCAGGCACTGTCGTGGCCCTCAGGGTGCTCAGTTCATCTGGGAGATAAGATAACCTCAGCGAGAGTCAGGCATGGAGCAACATGGACAAAGGTCGGGCACGGAGGCCTTGAAGGGGCCGTGGGGAGGAGGGTGGCCCTCCTGAGAGGGGTGCTTGCCTGCTGTGGGCCTGGGGTGCTGGTGAGGGAGGCTGGCCTAGGCACCTCCTACCTGAAAAGGAGGTGTGGCTCCTGGAGTTACCCTCTCTCCAGGAGGCAGGGGGATGGCTACATGACCTGTGGAGGACGTGGGAATTGAGATTTCTTTTTTTTTCTTTTCTTTTTTTTTGAGACTAGTTTTGCTCTTGTTGCCCAGGCTGGAGTAAAATGGCACATTCTTGGCTCACTGCAACCTCTGCCTCCCAGGTTCAAGTGATTCTCCTGCCTCAGCCTCCAGAGTAGCTGGGATTAGAGGCGCCCACCACACCCGGCTAATTTTGTATTTTTAGTAGAGATGGGGTTTCTCCATGTTGGTCAGGCTGGTCTCGAACTCCTGAACTCAGGTGATCCACCTGCCTTGGCCTCCCAAAGTGCTGGGATTACAGGTGTGAGCCACCGCGCCCGGCCGGGAATTGAGATTTTTTTTAGTGTGAGATGAGGGTAGTCCCAGCTTTGGGCCAAGCCGCCACCTGGGGGTAGGCAGGGGAGAGCAGTCACCTTCTTGCTTTGCAAACCAGCAAGGCTTTCCTGTACTTCTGCTGGTGTGGGATGGGTGCAGAGCTCGTGGGAGAGGCCTGGTGAGTCCCTGTCCCTGCCGTGGAGGTCGGGTCTCCTTGGGAAGAGGGGCAGTAGATGGAGAGGTGAGGCCTTCATGGGGCTGGAGGCTGAGACCAAAAGTCTATCTGCTCCTGGGTCTCCAGGACTTGCAGGCTATGTGTGCTTGTCCCTCAGACCTAGGGATGCAGCAGGGCTCGGCCACTGGCTGTGGACACTGGGCTCTTCTCCCTGCTGTCTGCGTCAGGCCTTGCTCTGCCTGCCCTCCTGGGACTTGGCCTCTAGCGCACCCCCTTGTCAGCCTCACAGCCTCCCCTCCCTCCAGCTTCCTGCTGCTCTTGGCCCAGCCCAGCCTTTCCTCTCCCGCTTCCTCATTACTCCTTGAGCTCGGGCCTCCTCCCCTCACGGACACTTCCTGCTCACCTAGGGCTGGGCTCTGGGTGTGAGCTCCTTTCTTCCGGCCCCGTGGCAAGGTGAGGCTGTGAGGCAGGCAGGAGAGGGCACCCCTTTCTGCTCTGCTTGTGGCTCACTCCTGCCAGGCTCTTTGCACACACCCACCAGCCCTCTGCTCACAGGCACCCCAGTCGGGGCCATCCGGTTTCTGGCTTCTCCCAGGGTGTTTTGTCCCTGAGGTGTCCTTTCTGACTCTCCCTTTCTCTCTCCAGCAGGGTCTGCGAGGTGCAGGGAGCCTGCCCCAACCATCTTGAACCCAGGCCCAGCCCAGAGGCCAGAGTGGAGGAGGCGGCAGTGAGCAGAGCTGGACTCTGCCCCCTCCTCATTGTGCTTGGCCCTGGAGCTGCACTGTGTGGGCCCCAAGTGTGGGACTCACTGGGACCTGTGCCTTTGGGCACACTTTGAACCTGGAGACAGGGTGGCGGGTGGGCATGTGCCAAGGTCTCAGTGTTGCCGTGAGACTGAGAGGATCCTGCTGGCTGGGTGGGCCTGGGGGCTGCAGGAGGGAGGGCAGGCTGCTCCGAGTCTTCTTGGACTAGGGAGTGGGTGTAGGGACAGCTGGAAGGTGCAGAGGCTTGGGCAGATCCTCCAGTCAGTGAGAGGGTGATAAAGGTGCTCTAGGCACAGGGGCAGATCCCACCTCCCCATGCCGTTCCATGCAGCCTGCCCTGTAGCCCACATGCTGCTGGCCGCACTGACTGCTTGGAGCTCTGTGGGCACTGGTGGACTGGGGCTTCCTCCTCATGGGGGCCTGTGAGGGGTAGGGGTAGCGCAGTGGGGGTGCTGCCTCTGGGTGGGGCTGGTCAGGCCTGTGAAGGGCCTGAGGTGAGGCTGTGGCTGGGTTGAGGAAGGCCTTGGAAGCCTGTCAAGGGGCCCCTGAGAAAGCTTGTGTAGGATTGTCTGCAGTGAGCTTTGGGAAGCACCACCCTTTCCCGACTCCTGTTTTCATCTTGGAGATGGGCATGGATAAAGCCAGCATGGTGTCCTTGGTGGCTCAAAGGGGGCAGGGGTCATACTGCTGTGAAACAGCTGTGGTTGGTAGGTCGTGGTACAAGAAGGCCAACCCTGAGGCTTGGGATTGTTCTGCTGAAAACAAATGGGCTCGAACTTGGGGAAGAGGGGGCAGTGGAGAGGCCCCCAGACAGACAGCCCAGAGAGGCTGCTGGGCAGTTGGGCCTCGTGCCCCTGCTCCCGTCACGGTGCTGGGGCTCTGGCGGTGTCTACACCCAGCCTCCTGGTTGTGGGCAGGCAGTGAGTGGAGTAGGCTGGGGAGATGAGCCAAGGGCGGTGGTCAGTTGGGAAGACAGCTGCCAACTTGGGGAGGAGGGAGGCTCTGGTGGAGACCACAGCCTCACTGCATGGCCCAGGATGGACCTGGTGGGTGGATGCAGGGCGCTCAGGCTGGAGCTGGGAGAGGCAGGGGCTGGGTGGAGCTGCCTGCCCCTGTGTTCCAGTCTAGATGGGCAGAGGGAAAGGTGTGAGCATCCTCCCTGCCTGGGGGTCTTGGGGACTAGTGTAGACTTGTCCAGGAACTGTGTAGGTGTAGATGGGGCATGTGTTGCACCAACCTTGGTCTTGGGGAGCAAAGGTTGGGCTTGTTGGCATTGCCTCTCGGCCTCCCTGGCCCTTTGCCTCCTGGGCAGGGCCGTCTGACTGCCGACCCCAATCCTAGCCAGCTTGCCTTGGGTGCCCTGAGGGCGTCTGCCTCATGGGGCTCCTGCCATGGCTCTCAGGCCCACTCTCCCTGCCTAGGGGCTCTGAGGGGCAGATGTGCGTGTGCGGGAGGGAAAGGGAGGCTCTGGCCTCTCCTCTTACAAAGTTGAGGACTTGCTCAATGCTGTGTGTGGTGTCCCAGTGGCACGGCAGATGGGGGGTGAGGCGGGCCTGCAGCTAGTGTATATGAGCCAGCACTGCTTCCTAGGACGTGTGGGGGCCTGGCCAAGCTCTTGCTGTCCTTGTCCTAGCTATATGGCAGTCCCTCTATTGGGCTGGGTGCCCTCTTCCACCTGTGCAGTATGCTGAGGACCAGGCAGGGTCTGCCTGTGCCCCTCCAGCGCTGGTTGGGAGATCATGGGTGGGTGCCTGCCTCTGTTGGAAGCCTCTCAGCCAGCAGGCACCTAGCCCCGGGTGGGTTCCTTTCAGCCCCCTCAGCCTGGGCACACATCACAAACAAGTGGAGGCTACACCGGCACACGAGGGCTGGATCCCTGCCTCTGGGAAAGTGCATGTCAGGCTGGTGTGTGGCTGGCGCCTGGCCTGCCTTTGCCAGTTTGAGCCTGCACGTCCAAGTGTGGGGACCCCTTAGCTCCCGGGTGCTGGGATGGGCCAACTGAATAGGGTGGACTCAACCCTCACCACTTGGTCCCCACAGTGCTGGGCAGTGCCCCCTGGTCCATCCCCAGGTTGGACCCTGCTTGTGGCCCCAGTGCTAGTCCACAGCCAGAGTACATGGCAGTGGCCAGAGGCCTCTGGAGAGTGAGGCCTGGAGTGTCCAAGCTCCATGTAGGTCCAGTCCGGGCAGGGCCAGCTGGGCTTGCTTCTGACCCTGACATGCTCGTCCCGCTGCCTGGAGGTGCAGGCTCTGGGGGTCCGGAGAGCTTTGCCCACTGTAGGTCTTGAGGCCACAGTGTGGCTCTGCCTGGCTTCTCCTCCTGGTTGTAAATAAGGAGTGGGGCCTGAGGGCAGACGAGGACACTGGGGTGGGGGCCTGGATCCTGCGGGGGTGGCGCTGCCCTGCTGGTGCCCACTCAGGGGGTGCTTGTGTTGTGCTCTGTCAGGTGCCATCGCCTGCAGGATTCTTTATTCAGCTCTGACAGTGGCTTCAGCAACTACCGTGGCATCCTGAACTGGTGTGTGGTGATGCTGGTGAGTGGGACATGGTGTCGGGAGCGGGTCTAGGTCCAGGTGGGGCTCTGTCCCAGGCTGGCCTTTGCCTGAGAACAGGCTCTGTCACCCAGGGTGTCCAGGCTGGAGCCCCTGTGGGCTGGGGTGTGTGGAGCAGGCTGCACCTCCATGTGGCTGCCAGCACTGGACTGTTGGGGAGGGGAGTGGCAGTGGCTGCCCCTGCTGTGGTCACTTGGGTGCCCATGCACCACATACTTGCTGCTTCCCATTGGATCCCAGGAGAGCCCTGCAGATGTGGTGTGGGCGTGGGGAGGCCGAACAGTGCCTGGCTGGAGCCTGTGTGTTGTGAGCTGGGCCTGAGGGGTGCAGGGCCTCCAGGGAGGGCAGGGTGGAGGGGGTCTTGCCCTGGGCTGGTGGGAGAGTGGACTGCATGCTCTGTGGACACAAGGCCTCTCTGGCAGGGGATGTGAGAAGAGCTTCCTGTGCTACGCCACATGGCCTCTGTGGGTATGGAGCCCTGCAGGCCTGGCCACCACTCTGCAGTCCTCCTGGCCCCTTCCCTCAGCTGTGGGTCCTAGGAGCCCCCCAGGAAGGTGATTAGATGGAGCCCTGTGCCACGTCCAAGGCCTGCTACCTCTGGGCCTGGTTCCCACTGGCACTTCGTGGGGTGGGGCTGCCAGCCCCACCCCAGAAGTAGTTGGAGTCTAGGGCTCAAAGGGGCACCTGCAGGGCAGGTCGGGGACAAGGGCTATCTGGGCCCAGCCTCCCCAACTCAGGGCTGATGTGGCTCGAGGCCTTTGACCTTCACCCAGGCGTGTCTATCTCTGGCCTTGGGTGCTGCTCCTGTGGCTACCCACGTGGAAGGGGCTCCACGCACATCCACATCCCCCACCGCCCATGGTCCTAGAAGGTTCCCTGGGGGTGGCCAGCTGTGGAGGCCCACGAGTCCTGGTGGCTGAGAAGCTGGCCAGGCAGGAGGACAGTGGGCCCAGCGCCAGCCCAGCACTCAGGAGACGCAGCCCATTCCTGGCCCAGGTTGGGCCTTGTCCAGCCCAGGCAGCACTGTGTATTCTCCCCAACCCCTTGGGCCTGCCTGGCCCTTTGGCCCAGCCCTGAAGCCTTTTCCCTGCTTTGGCTCCCCCATGCCCCCACCCCAGGCATGTATCCCGCTCTGGGCTGCTTGTTGCATTCCTTCTGTGGCCTGGGCCTGGAGGTGGGTACCGTCCATTGGCAGCTTTGGCTTCTGCCTGCTGTCAGCCCTCGGGAGAGGCCAGTGACAGTGTGGGCCACGTGTCCATGCAGAAGGCCTGTGTGTCAGCCCTGCGGCCGGGGGAGGCGGGGCAGTAGCCCTTGTGTCTCTGAAGCAGTCTTCTCTCTCATGAAGCCTTCCCTGACCACCCAGGCAAGACACCCTCAGTGTTCCCTTGCCAGCGACCCTTTTCCCCAGCACCAGTTCACTACCGCATGAGGCCCGAGCTCCGGGTGGTCAGCCAGGTCTGCGGCATTGGGGCCCAGCTTAATGGAGGTGTTGGTAGTGCTTGTAAGATGGAGGAGGAGGTTCCTGTCCTTGCAGAGGGAGGCCAAGCACCCAACTCCAGGCTCGTCCCAAGAGCCTTATTCCATGGGGGCTCAGTCCTGGGAAGTTGCTTTGGAGCCAAGTGTCCAAGGCTTAGAGGGCGGCAGGAAGCAGAAGAGGCAGGCGGGGCACAAGCCCTGGGAAGCACTCCAGGCCCAGCCCCCCTTGCGACACAGCTGGACACTGCTCCTGCAGAGAAAGAGTAGACAACTCCCCCTCTTCAGCCTTGGCCACCAGTAGGGACTGGTTCCTTGGGGCTCAGCCGTGGGCAGGCCTCCCTGGGCAGGCCTGTATTCTGGGGCTGTCTCTGGGGTGTGGTTGGCTGTGGGAGCCTTGGGTCCCTCACTGGCTCGGCTCAGCAGGAGGGATGTGAGCAGATCAGCAGCTGGTCTTTCTGCTCCTGAAGACCCAGGCGTCTGGCAGGGTTGGTTGGTCTGGCCGGTTGGTTCCCTCCATGTGGGACCGTCTGGTGTGATGGGGACAGGGAGGGACTTCCCCTTACCCAGCACTGGTGTTGGCTGAGGTGGGTGCTGAGTCTCAGAGCTTGGCATGGAGACCAGACAGGGCTGGGTCTGCAAGCCTGAGGCTGCCGCCCTGAGCTCGGGCTGGGACGTGCCCAGAGGTGTTGGGAGGATCTGGGGTGAGTACCCTGTGGCCAGGACTAAAGGGGCTGCACCCTCCTGTCCATCCCTCGCAGATCTTGAGCAATGCCCGGTTATTTCTGGAGAACCTCATCAAGTGAGTGCCTTTGCCAGGTCCCACCCCTGCCCCACCCATGGCCTGTCCAGGCCCCGCCCCACAGCCCCACCTGCCACCCACTCAGACCCCCATCCCTCCACCCCCAGGTATGGCATCCTGGTGGACCCCATCCAGGTGGTTTCTCTGTTCCTGAAGGATCCCTATAGCTGGCCCGCCCCATGCCTGGTTATTGGTGAGCTGGGCTCTGAGGAGGGCCTCGGGTGGGGATCAGGCTGACGTGGCCCTAAACCTGCCCCTTGGTGCTTCTGTCCACAGCGGCCAATGTCTTTGCTGTGGCTGCATTCCAGGTTGAGAAGCGCCTGGCGGTGGTAAGCAGTGCCCCTCACCTCCGTGTGTGCTCACCCTGCTGTGTGCGCTCCTGGGAGGAGCTGCTCCCCAGGCCTGGCAGCCCTCTCCCAGGCAATGGGAGCCCTGGTTGAGTGCTCTGCTCCCCACTCCAGGGTGCCCTGACGGAGCAGGCGGGACTGCTGCTGCACGTGGCCAACCTGGCCACCATTCTGTGTTTCCCAGCGGCTGTGGTCTTACTGGTTGAGTCTATCACTCCAGGTGCGCCCCCATCCCACCCTGCCCATCTGTCTCGGGCCAGCCACGGGCATGGCCTCCGGCTGTGGCGCTGTGGAGGCCTGAGTCCACCTCTCCTGCAGTGGGCTCCCTGCTGGCGCTGATGGCGCACACCATCCTCTTCCTCAAGCTCTTCTCCTACCGCGACGTCAACTCATGGTGCCGCAGGGCCAGGGCCAAGGCTGGTGAGGGGCTGCCAGGGGCTGGGGCTGCCTGCTGGGGGGCTGGGCAGCAGCAGGGCCCCACCAGCCCCCTCCCACTCTGCTGTGCTCGTAGCCTCTGCAGGGAAGAAGGCCAGCAGTGCTGCTGCCCCGCACACCGTGAGCTACCCGGACAATCTGACCTACCGCGGTGAGGACCTCTGTGGGCCTGAGGTGCGGGGGACAGGCTGGGCCTGTTCTGGTACCAACCCCCCATTCCCATTCCAGATCTCTACTACTTCCTCTTCGCCCCCACCTTGTGCTACGAGCTCAACTTTCCCCGCTCTCCCCGCATCCGGAAGCGCTTTCTGCTGCGACGGATCCTTGAGATGGTGAGGTTGGGGGCTGGGGGCAGCCACTGGAGGCTAGGGGGCCTTCTGGCTAGCCAGGGCCTCAGCTGGCTGCTCTCTGTTTCCCCCCCAGCTGTTCTTCACCCAGCTCCAGGTGGGGCTGATCCAGCAGGTAAGTGGGGTAGGGCAGGGTTGGGTGTAGCTGGGCATGGCTGGGAGCTGACGTGGTGCCCTCCTTTGCAGTGGATGGTCCCCACCATCCAGAACTCCATGAAGCCCTTCAAGGTGAGTGGCTCAGGTGCTCTTGCAGCTGGGGTGGCTGGGGAGTGACCAGGAGCATGGCTAGCTGAAGGGCTTGTTTCTGCAGGACATGGACTACTCACGCATCATCGAGCGCCTCCTGAAGCTGGCGGTGAGTGCGGACAGGTGGCGCATGCACAGGACAGGAGGGGACAGTGGCATGTGGGGGAAGGTTCTAGAACTTGGTGCCCACCCCCACCTCCCTGCCAGGTCCCCAATCACCTCATCTGGCTCATCTTCTTCTACTGGCTCTTCCACTCCTGCCTGAATGCCGTGGCTGAGCTCATGCAGTTTGGAGACCGGGAGTTCTACCGGGACTGGTGGTGAGTGTCCCTGGGGTGTCCCTGGGGGCTGGGATGGGCCATGGTGTGCTCTGATCCCCCTGTGGTCTCTTGGCCCCCAGGAACTCCGAGTCTGTCACCTACTTCTGGCAGAACTGGAACATCCCTGTGCACAAGTGGTGCATCAGGTAGGTGGGGTGTGTGTGTGTGTGATGTGGAACATGGCTGTGAACCTGAACCGCTTTCCATGCCCCCTCCTCTGCAGACACTTCTACAAGCCCATGCTTCGACGGGGCAGCAGCAAGTGGATGGCCAGGACAGGGGTGTTCCTGGCCTCGGCCTTCTTCCACGAGGTCAGTGCTCTGGGGGGCATCTTGCCTCATCCCTGGGCAGGGGTATGCCCACAGCAGGGACGGCTGACACCCCACTCCCTGGCATCCTCTCTCCCTCCCATCTCAGTACCTGGTGAGCGTCCCTCTGCGAATGTTCCGCCTCTGGGCGTTCACGGGCATGATGGCTCAGGTGAGTGACCCCCACGTGGCCTCCTCACTCGCCCAGTTACCCCGCACCTGAACCCCTCGGCTGACCCTCCCCATGCCCAGGGACCCTGAAGCCCCCAGCCCTGTGGTCACCATGGCCGACTGACTTGGCCCCTCACTCCCTAGATCCCACTGGCCTGGTTCGTGGGCCGCTTTTTCCAGGGCAACTATGGCAACGCAGCTGTGTGGCTGTCGCTCATCATCGGACAGCCAATAGCCGTCCTCATGTACGTCCACGACTACTACGTGCTCAACTATGAGGCCCCAGCGGCAGAGGCCTGAGCTGCACCTGAGGGCCTGGCTTCTCACTGCCACCTCACACCCGCTGCCAGAGCCCACCTCTCCTCCTAGGCCTCGAGTGCTGGGGATGGGCCTGGCTGCACAGCATCCTCCTCTGGTCCCAGGGAGGCCTCTCTGCCCCTATGGGGCTCTGTCCTGCACCCCTCAGGGATGGCGACAGCAGGCCAGACACAGTCTGATGCCAGCTGGGAGTCTTGCTGACCCTGCCCCGGGTCCGAGGGTGTCAATAAAGTGCTGTCCAGTGACCTCTTCAGCCTGCCAGGGGCCTGGGGCCTGGTGGGGGGTATGGCCACACCCACAAGGGCGAGTGCCAGAGCTGTGTGGACAGCTGTCCCAGGACCTGCCGGGGAGCAGCAGCTCCACTGCAGCAGGGCGGGCATGGCCGGTAGGGGGAGTGCAAGGCCAGGCAGACGCCCCCATTCCCCACACTCCCCTACCTAGAAAAGCTCAGCTCAGGCGTCCTCTCCTGGTGCTACTCCTGCTGGGTGTGCGGGAATCGGCACTCTGGCCCTCAGTGCAGGATGGTCAACTTGCACCCACCGTGCTCAGCTTCAGCTTGGGAAGAGGTCGGCCCTGGGTTTGCGGGAAGTGGGCTCCAGCCAGGATGGCCCAGGGATGGGCAGTCCACAGGGCCTTTCTGGTGTGGGTCTGGTGAGCCGAGGGGCTACGGTACACAATGGCTATGTCCATGGCTATTCGCCTTGGGGCAGGGCTCGGTTTGGCAGCCTCTTTCCTTCACTTGGAACCTGGGCAGCCAGGTGGGCTGGTGGCTCTCAGCTGCCCTCCACGAGGTTGGGGCACCCCTGATCCCCAGGCCTGCCTTGCCCTCTGCTCTTCTGGCACCAGGCTGGGCAGTGCAGACAGCGCAGCCCTGCAGCCTTCAGGACACCTTGTTCCCAGGCCCTGCAATCCACCAAGCTGGATAGATGGGGCCCCCCTTGATGGTAGCGGGAGGTCAGGGGTAACCCCAGGGCCCTGCTGCTGCCTTACCTTGCTGGGGTGACTGCTTGATTAAAGACCCCAAGACTGGACCAGGCCCTGGTGTCCCCAGACCTGCAGCTATGGCCCAACAAGGCAGGTGTTTGAGGAGGCCCTGCACAGGGTCCCAGGACTGCACCAGGGGCCTCATCAGCAACCTGCTGAACTGGTGGTGTGAGGGGAGGGTGGGCTCCCTTGGTGGTATCCTCCCTCTACCCCAGTGGGGGCTGGTGGGCCCTGAGATGGAGGCATCTCCTTGGGCCCTGCTGAGGATGGCAGTAGTGGGTGAGCTCCTGGTGGGGGGATGGGTGTGGGGCCGACTCCTCCATCCCACATGGGCTCCTGTGCCTCTCCCTATCAGTTGGCCAGTGGAGCTCGAGAACAAACTGTTGCTGCCAGATAAAGCAGCAAAGCCTGCTCCACTGCCCAGCGCAGGCCCCCTTCCCTTCCTCCACCAGGCTGAGTGGAGAACCCTAAAGCTACGGGACAGGCTCCCGTTCCCCGTGCCTACACAGGGTGCTGGCTCTGGCAGAAAGACAGTGTGCCCGCCCCGCATCACCTGTCCGAGTGCGAACACCTTGGGAAGGGGGTTCCTGGTGGTCCTGTGACAACCAGAGACCCCCAGGGCCAAGGTGAGGCGCCCACCCCTGGTCCCTCAATAAAGAACTGCAAGCACATGCTGGTCCTGGGGAGTCGGGCAGGCACGGAGCTAGCTGCAAGCATCCGTCTTCCCCCAGGAGGCCACTGCAGCCCGGCCCTTCTGTGCCCTGGGCCCCTCCTCATTGCAGCACCACCCACCGCACCACCCTGGGACAGAGGAAACACATGGAGGCCATAGCATAGAGCCTGTCTGTTTATAGATCTCTGCCTGTCTTGTCCGTCCATCCACTGTGTGTATATATCTGTGTATCTCTGTGGAGCGGGGAACGGGACAGTTGTGTAAAAATCCAAAATACAATTCTGACTATGAACAACCTGCAGGGTCAGTCCAGGTGTGGCTGTGAAGCCCCAACCAAACCACAGGACACGGGGTTGGGGGAAGGCAGACTGGCAGGCCAGGGTGACCCTCCTGACCAGAGGTGCTGCCCAGACCCGAGCCCGTTTGTCCTACTGGGGCTATGGCGGCCGACCCACCAGTGCCCAAGACCGCGAGGCTGCCCTGCCTCCCCAAGACCAGCCCTGCACTGGGGGTGGGGGTGGGCGGCTGGCCCAGCTCCTCCGGGGCCTCTAGGAGACAGTGGGGTCCTTGGCTTTGGGAGGCTCCGAGCCTGTCAGCAGGGAGATGGTGGGGTCCTCGGCGAAGCCGTCCCCTTCGGAGAAGTAGGAGCCCTCTCCCAGCTCAAACAGCACCGGCAGGTCGTTGCTCCCGGTGTCCACGGAGCCGGGGTCCAGCAGGAACAGCGGCTGCGCTGTGTAGTGCACCAGCTGCTTCCCTGCGGGGGTGGGGGTGTCAAGGCGGTGGGGGGTTGGGGGCAGAGGTGGGGCCGGTGGGACTTGGCTCACCTGAATCCGGGCTGCTGTTCTCTGCCTCGGGAGGCCTGGGGGGCTCCTGGGGAGACAGGAGCTCTTGGATCTGTGGGGTGGAGACGGTATTGTGAGCACTCCCGCTGGTCTCGTTCCCCCTCACCCCCCGCCCGCCTACGCACACTGGCCAGGCTGCTGTCAAGGTCAGGCAGGCTCATGTCGGGCACGGTCACCGAGGGGCTGAACAGCTGCGGAGGAGGGAGGGAAGTCAGAACAGCACCCGGGGGCGGGGCGGGGAGGCGGGGCGGGGAGGCGGGGCGGGGAGGCGGGGAGGCGGGGCGGGGAGGCGGGGAGGCGCGGGGAGGCGGGGCGGGGAGGCGGGGCGGCGGCGCGGGGAGGCGGGGAGGCGGGGCGGGGAGGCGGGGCGGCGCGGCGGGGAGGCGGGGCGGGGAGGCGGGGCGGCGGGGCTCCACTCACGTCCAGCAGGGCACTGGTGTCCACGCTGAAGCCGTGGCTGCTCAGCATGGTCTGCAGGTTATCCAGGTTGGAGTCCATAGCATCCAAGTGGTCACTGAGCTCATTCCTGGCCCGGGATAAGGCGGTACCTGAACCAGTGCCCCAGGCCCCACACCCCAATGCCCTCCTGTGGGAGAAGGGCTCCCCTTGACTGTACCCCCCAGGCTGCACCCCCGTGTACGCCTGCACAGGCTGGAGGGGGCAGCGCATTCGAGGACGGCCTGGAAGGCAGTGGAGGCTCTGTGCCCTGCAGGGGTGCGGCTGGGCCTATGCTGGGCATCCCTTTGCCATGAGGGCCTGGGGGCCTTGGTGGCAGTGGACCCAGGAGACAAGGGGCGTATTCAGCTCCAGCACAAGGATCAGGGATTTCAGTGTTCAGGGTTGGTGAGGTTTCCCGTTGCACTGGGAAAACAGGTGGGGCTCTGCTCAGTGTGTGGGTGGCTCAGTCCCTGCCCTGGTGCTGCTGTGGGGATGAGACCCACGGTCTGGTGGCTGTGACCAAGAAAGCCCTAGGCCACAGGGCACACCTGGGCTATGGGACGGACAGCCAGGCTGGGTCCCAGAGGTGCCCTGGAGACCCTGCCTGACAGGAAGTGCAGTCAGCACCGCAGTCTGGATCCTGCCAACACCAGAGGCCGTGCCAGAGCAGGGAGGCCTGTCCCTGTCATCCCTGTCACAGGCAATGACCACAGGCCCGTGGCCAGGGGAGCCATGACGACACTGAGCCCCCGCCACAGAGGGGTCTCGGCTGCTGCCGCCCAGGCCCGACGCTCATGCCCGGCCAGGCTGGGTCTGGTCCACGGCTGTGTGGGAGGGCCCGAGCGCTGGCAGAGCCCTCCTCCCTCCCCAGTGGGGTCAGCGCTAACCCTGGCTGGACTTGGCCATGCGGAGAGGAAGAGGGGCAGGGGAAGAGGCGGGCGACCCTAGACATCTGTGGAGTGCGAGCCAAACTGCAAGATACAAAAACAAGAGCCCCCATTGCAGGCAGGGGCTGGGGGTGTGGAGGCCGGCCCTGCTCACCATCTCCTGCCATGTGTCTGGGCAGCACGACCTGCCAGGGCCCGTGGCCTGTGGCGAGGGTGGCGGCAGCAGGACGGGTGGCTGAGAGCAGGGCCCGGCAGCCTGTCCGGACATGCCCGTGGCTTCTGTGGCGTTTGGGACTGTGGGGTGATCTGGCTGGCACCTGTCTCCCTCCCCAGCCCCGAGCTCCGAGGTTGGGGGTAGGGTCCTGCCTCGCCAGCTGCCCTGCTCAGTCCACTGGGACAGTCGGGGCTGAAGCCCAGGGCTGTGCGTCCAGGCGCTGTGGGTGGGGCCAGGGGTGGGCGGCACTCACTTGTCCAGGCAGGCTACGCTGAGGCACTTTTCAGGGGTGGAGGTGGGCGGGGGGGAGGGAGGCCGGCCCTCGGTGTCCGTGTGGCCCCTGGCGTCCGTGAGGGCTGTGACGGAGGCGGGGGCAGGTTCACTCTCCCGCAGGATGGAGTCAATGAGGGCGGTCGGGGACAAGAGGGTGTCCACGGAAGATGGGCGCCCGGGACTCGCCTCCTCTACCCGGGGGCTCTGAGGCGGGCTGGGGGGCTCCTCCTTGACACGCACCAGGGGGCTGCTGGATAGGGGCCTGCACACGAGGGGGGCCAGGTGAGCTGGCGTCTCGGCCAGCCCCACCTCATCCCCAACTCTGCCCTGGGCCCACAGGGGCTCGCCTCATTGGGGGACAGGATGGCTGGGGTGATGCGGCCCCCACCTCTCGTCTATGCTCCCGCCGGGGGAGGCCATGGGGCTGGCAGGAGCCAGCTCGGTGATGTCGGAGATGATGGGTCCAGAGCTGGCCACAGCATCAGGGGCGTAGAGGCTGGAGCTGCTGTAGGCTGGGGAGGGGGCCTGCAATCAAAGGCAGGAGGTCCATGCAGTGCCGGCAGGGGCAACCCACCCCACTGCCGCCTGCATGCCTGGGCGGGTGCCCTGTCTCCGGCACTCACCGAGTAGGGGCCCGAGCCGTGGACGTGCTCCAGGGAGAACTGCCGGCTATACTTGGGCATGGAATGTGCTGAGCCACTGTCGTTCAGCATCAGGGGGCTGTGGGGAAGGGTGCAGGTCAGCCACCACCCCCCACCTCGGGGTACCCGGGGCACAGCTGACAGAGAAGGGGGACAGCCCTGGGCCCCGGGTGGTGGATGCAGGCATCCCCAAAACCTCACATCTTTCTCTTCACCCCCAGGATCCGGTTTGACTGCACCAGTGAGATCAGGAACTGAATGAGCTGTGGAGAGAGAGGACACAGTTACCCCGGCCCTTGTGGGGCCCCCGCCGGCCCTCTGGCCCTGCCCCCACCTTGTTGACGACTTTCTGTTGCTGGGCATGCTTCTGCCGAAGGCTGGCCACCTCCCGCCACAGAGCCTCATTCTCACTGCAACAGACCAGGCTGGGTCAGTGGGGCCCAATCCCATGAGCCCCAGGGCTGAGGGAGCCCCACAGACCCTCCCTGTCCCCCATGCAGGAGCAGGGGTAAGTGTGACCATGTCTGGCCTGGCCCACCCCAGGATGAGAACTTGTGTGTGGAGGGACTGGGGGCCAGGGCCAGGGCTTGCTGGTCCCACTGCCCCTCCCTGCCGGGGACACCTGGTGTCACGTAGGGTGTTGGGGATGGATCCATGCGAGCCAGGTGCACCCGGATCCTGGCATCCATCCTGGCAAACACCTGGAGGGCTGCCTTGGACACAGGCCAGGAGCAGACCCTTGGGCCGCCCTTCCAAGGCCTGAGCAGCCAGGTTAAGGGAGGACGGTTCTTCAGGCTGCGACACTGGCTGTCCCATGTCCTGTAGGTGCTCAGGGCCCTCGCCAGGCCTGGAGGTGGCTCAGGGGTGGGGAAGAGCTGTCCCCAGCCAGGTGAGCAGGGCCATGACCGCGCTCCTGCTGCTCTGGGAGGCTGGGCCCTGTCAAGCCTGTGAGTCTTCTTGGTAGGCCAGGTCCACGTGGCCGGACTCCAGGAATCACAAAGCCGGTGGCTCCTGCTAGACCCCATGCAGGAGAGTCTGAGGCCAAGGCCTCCTCCATGACGTGGGGGTCAAGAGCGCCTGCTGCACGGAGCCGAGGAAGCCGTACTGGCATTGGGGTTCCCGCATGCCTGGAGCCCCAAAGTGGACGTGAGACCTGAGCTGGCCTTCCGAGGTGGGCTTGCCTCAGTTTCTCAGGTGCCACCGTGTGTTAGGCTCCTGCTAAGGTTTCCCCAGAGCCGCAGGGTCCCGGTGAGGAGGGGCTGGGGGCTAGCTCCATGGGCCCAGGCGAGTGTGGGACAGCGGTTCCAGGAAGGGCCTGAGGTGGGTCTGACCCCAGGCCCGAGGCGGGTGGGACGGGTCTGCTGTGCAAGGCTTGTCCTCAAAAGTAGGCTGGTGGGTCCCGCCAAGCTCGGAGCCAGGCAGAAGCCAATGGCCCAGAGGGCGCTGGGGATGTGCAGAGCAGGGGACCCTCCCAACCCCCTTCTGCACATGGAAAACGGCTGGCCCCAGAGCTGTTGCAGCAGCCACGGGCGGCGGGGCTGGGGCAGAGGCCCAGGGTAGATGTGCGTGGAGCGGGAGGGTGGAGCTGAGCACCTGGCCCCGGTCAGGGCCCTGCCCCCACAGCACCCGGGGCCTCTTGGTGGGCGCCAGGACCCGCTGTGGCCCATAATGCTGGTGTGGGACCTACTGCTTCATGGCCAGGAGCTTGGAGTCCATGCACTCCTGCTTCCCCTTCATCAGCTGCACGTCCGTCAGCAGCTTGGTGACGCTGTCCTGGCGGATCTTTATGTCTTCACTCTTCAGGGTGGACACCTGGATTCCCGAGAGGGACAGGAGTCACTGGAGCAGCCTAGGAGCTTGGCAGGCTCAGGCTCGTCCACTGCAGCCAGGTCCCTCAGGAAGGGGCAGGCTGGGGTGGGAGCCCTCAGGGAGGGGCGGGCGGGGAGAGCTGTGGCAGGTGAGACCGGGCAAGGGTGCAGGGCCGGCACTCACACTGGTCACTTTCCTCTTGATGTTCTCAAGGAGCTGCTCCTGGCCACGCAGGAAGCATGGGTGCTGGAACTCCGTGTCGTCTCTCTCTGGCTTGACCAGGCCGCCCTGCTCGATGTGGACCACTTTCCGGAAGCCATCTGCACATAACAGGGAAGGGGGCAGCTCTGCCTCAGGGCGGGACCAGAACCCCTGAAGAGCGGCCACTGCTCCAGGAGGCTGCTGCGGGGCTTGGCCATGGTCAGACCCTGCCCTGCCCCCTCAGAGCCCATGCCTGGGTGGCCGAGTGGCCTTGGTCTAAGGGAGACCCTGTGTCCCCACAGGGCTCCCTGCGCCCGACACACGTGGAGTACAGCTCCGGCTTCACGGTTCTTCCATGGGGACCCCAGGTTCATACCCACAAGGACCCTCCCCCATGGAAGAGGCGGCTGCTCCCCGGCCCCCAGGCTTGCAGGGTCCCACGCCATGCCCTTGGCCAGCACAGGACGCCCCGTCCTTCATCACAGGGTCCTCCTGCTGGGGTCCCGCCATCTGCAGGTCTGCCTCCCGCACCCCTGCGCTGCCTGGAGGCAGCACTCACACATGTTGAGCTGCCGCACGAAGCTGGCCATGTTGTTGTGCTTGAAGTACTTGGGCAGCACCTCCTTGGCAAACTGGCCCTGGTCGAACACGTGGAAGCTGTTCCCGCTCTGAAAGGGAGACACATGGGTGGGTCACGCGTGGTGGTGAGGGGCAGCGTGCCCAAGCCGCCCCTTCCCCAGGCCGCCCCTTCTGAAACGCAGGCAGTGCACGTTCCACCTGATGGGGCTGGGGCCATGGGAGGCCCAGGGGGCTGGCGGGAGGCGAGTTCGTTCCTGGGACCACCTGCCACACGGGCCTCATCTGTGCAGCGTGACCTGCATCCTCACTGTGAGGCCCAGGACTGGGCGGTGGGCAGATGCGAGGCCTTCCTCTCAGTCGGAAAGCCCCTCCCCAGGGCTTCCAGAGAAGGCCACGTTTCCACTCACAAAGCATCCGCCGCACTCTGGCCACATTTCCACTCACAAAGCACCCGCCGCACTCTGGCCACGTTTCCACTCACAAAGCACCTGTTTAAGCAGGACCTTTCCCTTGGGAACAGCGAAGGAAATGGAGCCCTAATTTCATTACTCCCGAGGAAAACACAGTCGCGTTCAGAAATCCAAATTCAGTCTTGTTTTGTGACGTGAGACAAGAAACAGAGACAGTCAAACACTGCATATACCTTCCTCTTCCATTTCTCTACCGAGCTCAGGCCCAGAGCTATCAGGAGGCGCTGGTGAGGGAGGCATCCCTGTTGGCCGTGGCCGCGGTGGCTCAGAGGGGACATCGAAGGCTTAGGGGACAGCGAGAAGCCCACACGGCGGGGAAGGGGGGCCTGAAGCAGGGCCAGAGAGGGGTGAGGGGTGTCTGCATAGGAAGGGGCGGCTGACTCAGTGAAGAAACTGGTGAAGGGCAGTGGGGCAGGTTTCTCCCTGCCAGGGAAGGGAGCTGCAGATGCAAACAGGGAAAAAGCCAGAAAGACCCCCGTGGTGTGGCACTAGAAGTGGAGAACCTCTTTCCAGCATAGAGAGATGTGAAATACACAGGGATGTACACGTGTCAGGGAGGGAAACGGTCACGGAAAGGACCCCAAGGCAGCAGGAGAGAGACGGCGAAAAGCGCCAAGCCAACTTTCCAGAACTCTGAAAGTTAACCAAAGAATTACAGTAGCACGGGGAGCATTTATTCAAGAAAAACAGCTGAATCTTAGTAAGAACAGTGGGCTTTGTGAACTTTTTTTTTTTCTGAGACAAGGTCTTGCTCAGGCTGGAGTGCACCAGCACCAACATGGCTCACTGCAGCCTCTGCATCCCAGTTCAAGCGATTCTCGTGCCTCAGCCTCCCAGTTCAAGCGATTCTCGTGCCTCAGCCTCCCGAGTTCAAGTGATTCTCCTGCCTCAGCCTCCCGAGTAGCTGACTATAGGCGCCACCACGCCCGGCTCATTTCTGTATTTTTAGGAGAGATGGGGTTTCACCATGTTGCCCAGACTGGTCTCGAATTCCTGACCTCAATCAATCCGCCCACCTTGGCCTCCTGCAGTGCTGGGATTACAGGCGTGAGCCTCTGTGCCCAGCCAGGCTTTGTGGCATTTTACATGCCCTATTCCCACTCCATCTGCAGCCTTAAAAACCAACAGCTGCAGTCCCCGTGGGAACAGCGTCCTGGCAGCCGCTGCGGGGTGGGCCAGGGCTTGAGCTCCTCCAGGGCCCCATTCCCAGAGGACTGTCAGCATCTGACCTAAGAGTCCACTCCCAAGGCTGTCTCTGATTTGACTTGAAGCTCTCCTGAATAAAAAAGCTGTTTGCCGAGGTGTGCCTGTTGAAACCTTTACAGGTGATTTTTGAACGCTGTGGCTGCCTGAGGCAGTGCCTGGCAGCTGGGGAGAAGGAGGTGCCACTAGGGGCTCTGAAAAGCTCTGAGATATTCCAGGACATCTCGCAGCCGTGTACACGTGTGAGCCGTGCCCGTGCTCAGGAAAGACCTGAGCCAGCCCCGAGCTCTCACTTCTGGCTGACCTTGAGGCTCTGTGTAAGCAGGAAGTCAGGCATACAGTTGGGTTGTCCACTGCCTGGCCGAGTGCTGAAGGCGTCCCCAACACACACACACACACACACAGCCCCCGGAAAAGACGGGAGACTCACTGGCCCCAGGCATTCAAGAACATTTCTGCCCCATCACCACCTATCTCAGTTAACTGAACAGAGACGGCAGTGGCCATAAACAAGAAAGAACGCAACCTTTACAGAATTAGTGCCGAAAAGCTACCTGACAGATAACCACGACAAACAGCAGCAATGACAAATCCTGGGGAGGTGGGGGAGTCCGAGCTCCAGAGCTGCCACTCTCAACCGATGAGAGTTCCAGTTTTCCAGCCGGCTGCGCTGGTTCACGCCTGCGGTCCCAGCACTTTGGGAAGCCGAGGCGGGTGGGTTGCTCAAGCTCAGGAGTTGGAGACTGGCCTGGGCAACATGGCAAAACCCCGTCTCTAGAAGAAATACAAAAATTAAGTGGGCGTGGTGGCGCACACCTATCATCCCAGCTACTCAGGAGGCTGAGGAGGGAGGATCCCTTGAGCTCCGGAGGTGAAGGCTGCAGTGAGCTGTGATTGAACTACTGCGCTCCAGCCTGGGTAACAGACTCAAAAACAAACAAACAAACAAACAAACAAAAAACTCTAGTTAAAAAAAAAAATAGAGATATGCAAAGAAACAAGAAGCTAGGACCCATACCCCATACACGGGAAAAAAAAAAAAAGGCAATCAATAGAAACTGTCCCCAAAGAAGCCAAAACATTGGACACTGGACTTACGAGGCAAAGATTTTAAGTCAATCATTTCAAATATGTTCAAACAACTAAAGGAAACCACATCTGAAGAACTAAAGTATGAGAATGACATCTTATCAGAGAGTATCAATAAAGAGATAAAAATTGTAAAGAAGCCCGAAATCAAAATTATGGAGCTGAAGAGTTTAATAACTCAGATTAAAAGTCAACCAGAGGGGCCGGGCGCGGTGGCTCACGCCTGTAATCCCAGCAGTTTGGGAGGCCAAGGCAGGCGGATCACCTGAGGTCAGGAGTTGGAGACCAACCTGACCAACATGGAGAAACCCCGTCTCTACTAAAAATACAAAATTAGCCAGGTGTGGTGGCTCATGCCTGTAATCCCGGCTACTCAGGAGGCTGAGGCAGGAGAATTGTTTGAACCCGGGAGGCAGAGGTTGCAGTGAGCCGAGATCGCGCCATTGCACTCCAGCCTGGGCTACAGAGTGAGACTCCGTCTCAAAAAAAAAAAAAAAAAAAAAAAAAAATTAACCAGAGGGGCTTAAGAGCAGACCTGACTAGGAGAAGAAGGAGTCAGCAAACATGAAGATCAGTCAATTGAGGTGCTCCAGTAGGAGAAAAAAAGACAGAAGGAATAAGAAGGAGGAGCCGGCCAGGCGCAGTGGCTCACGCCTGTAATCTCAGCACTTTGGGAGGCCAAGGTGGTTGGATCACGAGGTCAAGAGATCTAGACCATCCTGGCCAACATGGTCAAACCCCATCTCTACTAAAAATACAAAAAAAATTAGTTGGGCATGGTGGCATGTGCCTGTAATCCCAGCTACTTGGGAGGCTGAGGCAAGAGAATCGCTTGAACTCTGGAGGCAGAGGTTGCAGTGAGCCGAGATTGCACCACTGCACTCCAGTCTAGTGACAGAAAGAGACTCTGTCTCAAAAAAATAAAAACAAAAACAAAAATGAGCAGAGCCTCAGAGACCTGTGAGACACCACAAAAAGTGTAACACAGCCGGGCATGGTGGCTCACACCTGTAATCCCAGCATGTTGGGAGGCTGAGCCAGGCGGATCACCTGAGGTTAGGAATTCGAGACCAGCCTGGCCAACATGGGGAAACCCCGTCTCTACTAAAAATATAAAAATTAGCCGGCACAGTGGCGGGCGCCTATAGTCCCAGCTACTCGGGAGGCTGAGGCAGGAGAATCGCTTGAACCCAGGAGGCAGAGGTTGCAGTGAGCCGAGATCACCCCACTGCACTCCAGCCTGGGGGACAGAGTGAGACTCTGTCTCAATAAAAAAAAAAAAAAAGGATTAAAATGCCTGGTGTGGTGGCTCATGCCTGTAATCCCAACACTTTGGGAGGCTGAGGTGTGTGGATCGTTTGAGGTCAGGAGTTCCAGCCTGGCCAGCATGGTGAAACCCCGCCTCTACTAAAAATGGAAAAATTTTAGTGTCGTGGCTCATGCCTGTAATCCCAGCTACTTGGGAGGCTGAGGCAGAAGAACTGCTTGAACCCGGGAGGTAGAAGTTGTAGTGAGCACAGATCGTGCCACTGCCCTCTAGCCTGGGTGACAGAGCGAGACTCCATCTCCAAAAAAACAGAAACAAAAACAAACCAAAACAAATAAAATAAAAGCATTAAAATAAAAGACCCTGCCACTCAATCTTTGTATATTGGCCGGGTGTAGTTACTCATGCCTGTAATCCCAGCACTTTGGGAGGCCAAGGCAGGAGGATCCCTTGAGCCCAGGAGTTGGAGACCAGCCTGGGCAACATAGCGAGACCCCATCTCTACAAAACATAAAAATTCAATATCCGGCAAAGCTATGCTTTGAAAATGGAGAGATTTCCACTTCTGGAACAGCAATGTGAGGAACTTCATGGAAGTACTTCCTGTGAAACAAGCAAAGCTTAAACCACTTAAAGTCTCAAAACTGTCCTAAACGCATATAACAGATGAACACTTACGGAGTAAAATCTACTGACACCTGGTACGAACATTAAGCCTGGTGGCATCTGAGCCTCAGCCTCCTCTTTCCCTCTCACCCCAGCTCACCATGATGGGTACTACACTCAGGGAGAGGGGAGCAGGAAGATGGGGACCCTTCTCCCCTCAATTCCCAAATAAGGTTTCCTGGATCTCATGGGCTGGGCAGACCACCAGAGTTTCACATCCTCACCGACTCCAAGTTGAAGAGACTAAGATCCTGGTGCACGTGGCCAAGAAGCCAGGGGCTCCCTTCCTCCACCTTGCCCAAGCCTCAGAGAGGAGACTACCCCCGCCACAGCAGGCTGAGGACACCCAGGTCTCTGATCACCCTCCCCACAGCTCCCACCTAATTAAAGCATTTTCAAAACCACAATTTTTTTTTTTATTTTTTATATGGAGTCTCGCTGTCGCCCAGGCTGGAGTGCAGTGGTGCCATCTTGGCTCACTGCAACCTCCGCCTCCTGGGTTCAAGCAATTCTCCTGCCTCAGCTTCCTGGGTAGCTGGTATTACAGGCATGTGCCACCACGCCCGGCTTATTTTTATATTTTTAGTAGAGACAGGCTTTCACCAGGTTGGTCAGGCTGGTCTTGAACTCCTGACCATAAGTGATCCACCCACCTTGGCTTCCCAAGGTGCTGGGATTACAGGCATGAGCCACTGTGCCTGGCCTTAAAAACCACAAGTTTTAAATACAGTTCAGGCTTTCTAGGTTAAAACAGTAGGGTAGAGCACCCATGCTGGGAAAGCCAGGCCAAGAAGATCAGAGGCTGCTGTCTTACCCAGTGCCCAGAAGGGTGGTGCAGAGAAATCAGCCTGGGGAGAGAGGCCGTCCATAAGGAAAGAGCTCTGAAGCTCCCTGAGGAAACTCATTTTATTTGAAAGTTCAGCCCAAGACTGCTCTTGGGAACAACAGCTCCTCTAAGTTAAGAGAAACAAGTGAAACCGCAGGCTTGTTCACCTGCACAGGAAAAGCTACGAAGAGCCCTGCTGGGGCCAGAACAACCCTGACTGACCTCAGACACTACCACTACTCAAAAACCCCAAACACGCCTGCAACAATAATCCAAATAGCGAGACCCCCATCTATACCAAAAAAATGATAGAAGAGACGAAATCATAAAGGACCCCCAGTGGAAACTCTGGAGTAGAATAACCAAAGCAGAACTGCTGGCCGTGTGGTAAATGCTGAATTTCACATGCAACTCCCAAGCTGCTTTCCAAAGCGGATGCAGCATTTGTGTTCTCAGCAGCACGGGTGAGTTCCAGGGGCTCCGCACCCTCCTCAGCACCTGGCTGTTCTAGTCGCTGTCGCTGCGGTTTTCGTGTGCATTCCTCTGACAACGAACGATGCTGAGCACCTGTTCAAGTGCTTATTTGCTATTTGTCTATCTTTTTTTTGATGTATCTGTTCAAATCTTCTGCCTTTTTCAATGTATGTTTTTTCGAGACAGAGTCTGCTTTGTCACCCAGGCTGGAGTGCAGTGGCGCGATCTGGGCTCACTGCAACCTCTACCTCCTGGGATCAAGAGATCCTCCCACCTCAGCCTCCCGCGTAGCTGGGCCCACAGGAGCACACCACCACATCAGGCTCATTTTTTTTTGTAGAGATGGGTCTCCCTATGTTGCCCAGGCTGGTCTCGAACTCCTGAGTGGAAGCAATCTACCCGCGCTGGCCTCCCAAAGTGTTGGGATTACAGGTGTCAGCTACCATGCTCAGCCACTTGCGTTTTATTTATTATTATTATTATCTTTTTTTTTTAGATGGAGTCTCGCTCCACTGCCCAGGCTAGAGTGCAATGGCGCGATCTCAGCTCACTGCAACCTCTGCCTCCCGGGTTCATGCGATTCTCCCACCTCAGCCTCCTGAGTAGCTGGGACTACAGGCACCTGCCATCACGCCCAGCTAATTTTTGTATTTTCAGTAGAGACGGGGTTTCACCATATTGGCCAGGCTGCTTTTGAATTCCTGACCTTGTGATCCGCCTGCCTCGGTCTCCCAAAGTGCTGGGATTACAGGCGTGAGCCACGGCGCCCGGCCTGCCTTTAATTTTTTTTAAATGGTTGTCTTCCTGAGTTGCAAAAAAAAATTTTTTTTTTTGGAGACGGAGTCTCGCTGTGTCGCCCAGGCTGGAGTGCAATGGTGCAGTTTCGGCTCACTGCAGCCTCTGCCTCCTGGGTTCCAGAGATTCTCCCGCCTCAGCCTCCCGAGTAGCGGGGATTACAGGCACCTGCCACCACGCCCAGCTAGTTTTTGTATTTTTAGTAGAGACAAGGTTTCACCATGTTGGCCAAGCTATGTTGCCCCATCTGGGAGCAATCCTTCCACCCGAGCCTCTGAGTAGCTGGCACCACAGGCACCACCACCGTGCACGGCTCTTCTGGATGCTTTTTATTTTTTTTGAGACGGAGTCTCGCTTTGTCGCCCAGGCTGGAGTGCAGTGGTGCGATCTCGGCTCACTGCAAGCTCTGCCTCCCGGGTTCACGCCATTCTCCTGCCTCAGCCTCCCGAGTAGCTAGGACTACAGGCACCCGCCACCACGCCCGGCTAATTTTTGTATTTTCAATAGAGACGGGGTTTCACTGTATTAGCCAGGATGGTCTCGACCTCCTGACCTGGTGATCCGCCCGCCTTGGCCTCCCAAAGTGCTGGGATTACAGGCGTGAGCCACCGCGCCCGGCCTCTTCTGGAGCTTTTAAGATTTTCTCTTCACCAGCCTGTTCCAGCACTTTGATTATATAATGTACCTTGATATGGTTTTGGTTTTATCCTGCTTAAGACTGATATTCTTGGATTTGTGAGCTTACAGCTTTTCAAAAATTTGGGAAAAATTTTGGCCATAATTTTTTTTTTGAGACAGGGCTCTGTTGCCCAGGCTGGAGTGCAGTGGTACGATCATGGCTCACTGCAGCCTCCACCTCCTGCACTCAGGTGATCCTCCCGCCTCAGCCTCCCGAGTAGTTGGGACCACAGGCAGGCACTACCACGCCCGGCTAATTTTTGTATTATTTATAGAGACAGGGTCTTGCTATGTTGCCCAGGCTGGTCTTGAACTCCTGGGCTCAAGCGATCCACCCATGTCAGCCTCCCAGAGTGCTGGGATTTCGGGCAGGAGCCACCGTGTCCAGCCTTTTGGTCATATTTCTGTATTCTCTTCCCCACTGTTTTCTGGAACCTCAAATACGTTAGACCACATGATATTATGTCCTTGAAGCTCGGCTAAGTTTTTGCAGTCCTTTTTCTCCCTGTACATCACTGTGGACAGTTTCCATTGCTTTTAGTTCAGGAATCTTTTCTTCTGAAGTTTCTAATGTTTTGTTAAACCGCTCCGGTGACTCTGAAGAACCACCTTTTTACTTTAGAATACATGCCCTACACCAGTGTCCCCCATCATTAACATCCTGCCTTTGTGTGGTACAGTTGTCTCAAGAACATTAGACACATTGTTAACTAGGACCCACATTCTAATCAGATTCCTTAGCTTTTTACCCAATCCTTCCTCTGCTCCAGGACATCATCCAAAATCCATCCAGTTGTCACATCTTCTTCAGTCCCACTGACTCTGGCACCTTTCAGACTTGCCTAGTTTTTGAGAACCTTGACAATTTTGAGGACTCGTCAAACAGTTTGTGGAATGTCTCTCAATTTGGATTTGTTTGATGTTTTTTCATCATTAGCTGGGGTTACGTATGTTTTTGGGAGGAAGATCAAAGAGGTAGAGTGCTGTTCTCATCATCCTATCAAGAGTACACAACAGGCCGGGCGCGGTGGCTGACGCGCCCAACACTTTGGGAGGCCAAGGTGGGCGGATCACGAGGTCAGGAGATTGAGACCATCCTGGCTAACACGGTGAAACCCCATCTCTACTAAAAATACAACAAAATTAGCCGGGCGAGGTGGCGGGTGCCTGTAGTCCCAGCTTCGTGGGAGGCTGAGGCAGGAGAATTGCTTGGACCTGGGAGGTGGAGGTTGCAGTGAGCCGAGATTGTGCCACTGCACTCCAGCCTGGCAACAGAGCGAGACTCCGTCTCAAAAAAAAAAAAAAAAAAAAAAAGAGTACACAACAGTGATACGCATGTCACTGCTGATGGTGAGCATGGTCCCTGGTGAGGCTGTGTTGCTGGAGGTCTCCACTGGAAAGCTGCTCCTCCTGCTTCTGTGCTCTGCTCTTTGGAAGAGGGTCACTAGGTAAAGCCCAGGCTTCTGGAGTGAGGAGTTAAGCATCACCTCCTCGAAGGGGAACTATCTCAGTAAACAATGTGGAATTCTTCTACTTGGGAGATTAGTTCCAGTGACATTTTGTCCAACTTGCTTCTTTTCTGTATCTTCCATTTCTCAGTCATGTTTTCTTATTTTTTGAGACGGGGTCTCGCTCTGTCACCCAGGCTGGAGTGCAGTGGCACGATCTTGGCTCACTGCAAGCTCCACCTCCCGGGTCCAAGCAATTCTCCTGCCTCAGCCTCTGGAGGAGCTGGGACTACAGGTGCCCGCCACCACGCCCGGCTAATTTTTTGTATTTTTAGTAGAGACGGGGTTTCACCATGTTAGCCAGGATGGTCTTGATCTCCTGACCTCGTGATCCACCCGCCTCGGCCTCCCAGAGTGCTGGGATTACAGGTGTGAGCCACCACGCCCAGCCCTCAGTCACATTTTTGTGTTATTTCTTTGAGCACAGGGAACATTTTTATAATTGTTTACTGTCTTTGTTGGCTAATCCTATCAAAACTGGGCCTGCTACTGGACCCCCTCCAGTGACAAGTCCATTTTTCTGCTTTGGCTTGTCTGCCCATGACTGATTAGATTCTGGACGTGAATTTTTTTTTTTTTTTTTAGAAGGAGTCTTGCTCTGTTGCCCAGGCTGAAGTGCAGTGATGCGATCTCGGCTCACTGCAACCTCTGCCTCCCGGGCTCATGTGGTTCTCTTGCCTCAGCCTCCCAAGTAGCTGGGACCACAGGCGCCCATCACCACACATGGCTAATTTTTTGTAGTAGAGACGGCGTTTCACCATATTGGCCAGGCTGGTCTTGAACTCCTGACCTCAGATAATCCGCCTGCTTCGGCCTCCCAAAGTGCTGGGATTACAGGTGTGAGCCACTTCGCCTGGCTTCCTTCTCTCAAGAGTGCTGTGTGTACTCCGTGCTAGCAGGCAGTGGTGTTTCCAGGGCTTGCCTTGCACTTGTTTCCACGGCATTGGAGTGGCCTTTCCTCTGCAGCTTATTCTGCGCCACTTCCAAGCTGTGTTTCCTCTAAGGTGTCATGAAAGCTCCTTGTATTTAAAGTGGCTTCTATACTCTGGCTGGTGGGAACTGAAATAACCACGGCCCTGTGTGAGTCCTGCTCATCTGTCCCCTTACACTTACTCTTCCCCTTCAAGTTGCTCTTGGTCCAGCTCCACGAGGTTTCACTGTGTGCACCAGCAAATCGGATCCAACCCAAGATGCAAGCGGGCTCACGCGCAGATTGCTGGAGCTCTTTGTTTTGGGCGTAACTCCTTCCTTTCTGGTACCACACCCCACACATTCTAGCTGCCTCAGCTGCCCCAAAGTCTGGGTTTGTTGGGTTCTCTGCACGTGAGTCTGCAAATTCCCTCCACATAAAAAGCCTGGACAATTTTGTGGTTTACCTCAGTCCTCGCCGGTTTTTTCTTTTCTTTCTTTTTTTTTTTTTGAGACAGTTTCTCGCTCTGTGGCTGGAGCGCAGCGGCGCAATCTCGGCTCACTGCAACCTCTGTATCCCAGGTTCAAGTGATTCTCCTGCCTCAGCCTCCCGAGTAGCTGGGATTACAGGCACGCACCACCACGCCTGGCTATTTTTTTTTTTTTTGTATTTTTAGTAGAGACGGGGTTTCACCATGTTGGTCAGGCTGGTCTTGAACTGCTGACCTCAGGTGATCCAACCGCCTCAGCCTCCCGAAGTGCTGGGATTACAGCCGTGAGCCACCGTGCCCGGCCCTAGTTTTGTAACGTCTGAACATTTTCAGCGGCTTCTTATGCCTTAAGGGTTAAATCCAAGTTGAACATGTCAGGCAACCCCTACCTTAGGGGCCATTATGAATTTCACAGGGTCTGCTGGTGAACCCATCAGAGAACCCAGTGTCTCTCTCATCTTCCTGCCTCAGTGGAACAAGGTCCCTCCTCTGCTGACCACAGGCACCTCTTGGAGGAGTCACCGGTCATAACTGGATATCACGAAAACCTGCCACTGGAAATGGGAGGCCCCTGGCTGGTGCGAGATGCCACACGCTGAGAAGTGTAGGTGTCAGCAAACCCCGCAGCTTGCAGTAAACTTGGAGCCTGTGGCCTCATTTTCTGCAGCACTGTGAAGGACCTGAAATGTGTGTGAGATCCTGCCTGTAGGGACACCTTACATAGAAAGTGTCTGTGTCTCTGAGTATCTTCTCAAAGGGCTCCCTGGCCCAAAACGTGAACAGTGCCGTATTCTACAAGGTGGCCCCACAGCCCAGGCCACAAGCCTCTTGTTCCAGCCTCCTGCCAAGTCAAAGCTGTATCTGCTGACCGGTGATCTGGGCTCCTGGGCTCGGCTGGCCGGCTGTTCCCTCTCCGGGTCCCGGGAGTATAGGCTTTAGGAGCAAAGGGAGCGCGTGTGTGAGTAGCTGTGGCCCACGTGTGGGGAGCAGGGACCACCGGAGTCAGGGCATGGAAGCAGTGAGGCAGGCAGGAAGCGCGAGCAGGTGCAGACAAAGTGGCTCACTTTGTGGCCCCGTTCCCTGGTCTGGTTCTGTCCACATCTGAGCCACCCGCACCTTTCTCATAAACACTCTTCTTGTTTCCGCTCTGGAGGAGCTTCCAGCGTGTTCTCGCCACACAAGGACCAAGAGCAGCACAATCGCCCTCATCTCTCATCACATCTCGTCACTGGCTGCCGTGCACAAGTGTGGTGGCTACTGCTGCTCACCATGGCCCACAGGGTCACAGGGAGGAGGCTGAGGCAGCAGCAGCCCTTGCTGCCAGGTGCCTTGAGACATTTGGGACCACCTCCTTTCCTTAGACAGCCTCCCCTCCACCTGCCAGACCTTGAGGAGACCCTGGAGCCAACAGCCCTCAATATACCCGATGGGAGCTGCTTGCTTCCTCTGGGAAGGCACTGTGAGCCCCACCGACCCCTCTCCAGCTCGCCCTGCACACAGGCTGACTCCTCCAAAACTGAGAGACTTTCAGGGCCAGGCTGTCCATCCCTGGTCCCTCAATAAAGGACTGAGCAAACACTAGCCTGTGGAGTTGGGTGGGCATGGGGCACCGGAGGCATCTGCCTCCCCCCAGGAGGCCACTGCAGCTCAGCCCTTCTGTGCCCTGGGCCCCTCCTCACCGCACCCCCCCCACCACACCATCCGGGGCAGAGGAAACACAGGAGGCTACAGCACAGAGCCTTTTTAATTTTTTCTGTGCTATGCACAGAAGCTGTATGAGGACAGATGTGTGCCTTCTTTTTTTTTTTTTTTGAGATGGAGTCCCGCTCTGTCACCCAGGCTGGAGTGCAATGGCGCGATCTCAGCTCACTGCAAGCCCCGCCTCCTGGGTTCACGCCGTTCTCCTGCCTCAGCCTCGCAAGTAGCTGGGACTACAGGCACCCACCACCACGTCCAGCTAGTTTTTTGTATTTTTTAATATAGACGGGGTTTCACCATGTTAGCCAGGATGGTCTCAATCTCCTGACCTCCTGATCTCGTGATCCGCCCACCTCAGCCTCCCAAAGTGCTGGGATTACAGGCGTGAGCCACCACGACCAGCCCCAGCTGTGTGCCTTCTTATGGCCACACCAGGAGGCACTATGGTCCGGGCACACATCAGGCCCTCCAGACCCTGCAGCACTTCTCACAGCTGCTGCTGTGGGGCCTCCAGCATCTTGGGCCAAATACCAGATCTTCCAGGGTGGGGCCAGTGGGCCTGCTGGGTCTTGGCGGCTCTCAGAACCAGGGAAGCAGGGGTGGCCCTGCCTGCCGTGGGAGCTCCGGACACGATCTGTGACCAGGGTCTGAGTGACTGAGCGTGGCCAGGTCGGCTCTGCTTCTGCAACTCCTCGTGTGCTTATGAGTGGACGCCCTGCCCTGCCTTACTTCAGGGACCCCTCAGGCCCTGCCCCCTGCCTCACTGCAGGGACCACTCTGCTCCCAATTGTCCACCCAGAGACCCTCCACAGCGGCCACCTGACCACTGGCTTTCAATGGAACTCTCTCCCGCGATAGGCCGAGGGCCTTGGTGACCTCCAGCTCACTCAGTCTCAGGGAGCCCCAGGGTTTCAGCACATCCTTCTAGAGTCTTTCCAGCTGCACCCATGAGGCTGGGGCCAGGTGAAGACAGAGAAGCATCCAGGAGCCCACATCTAAGGAGGCCCCCACTCCCAGCGCCATCCGAATGCAGGTAGGTCTTAAAAAGGAATGCCTCAGGGCCAGGCGCGGTGGCTCAAGCCTGTAATCCCAGCACTTCGGGAGGCTGAGATGGGAGGATGGCTTGAGCCCGTGAGTTCCAGACTAGCTTGGGCAATACGGCGAGACCCTGTCTCTACTAAAACCTTAAAAAGAAAAAAAAAAAAAAGCCAGGTCTGGTGGTGCAAGCCTGTAGTCCCAGTGACTCAGCTGAGGTGACTGGATCACTTGAGCCTGGGAGGCAGAGGCTGCAGCGAGCTGCAATCATAGCCCTGCACTCCAGCCTGGGCAACAGAGCGAGACCTTATCTAAAAAACAAAAAGTGCTTCCTTAAATTTTGCACCCAGGTGCCCCCTCTGGCCTCACCCTGATCCTGAGGCCTCCGTCTACCTGGGTTCGTTCTAACCTGCGTGACCATCATTCTAGCATTTGTCTGGCACAGGTCATGTGGCTGTGCCTTGTTCTCAGGCTCCTCAGCCAGCTGGGTGGCTCCTGGGGCTGTAATCTCACCATCTCAGATGTCGAGATTACTTTTCATACTTCCTTATCTTGTTAATAAAGATGGGACAAAATCATAGCTTGTAAAAAACTGGGATGATGGTGAACCCAGTTCTGAGGCTTCACTTTCTGCTTTTGTTTGGTTCTCCATGCTGTCAAATTCTCTGAAGAGGCTGTTGCCCTCCTGAGTCAGCTGCAGCCCAGCAAGGCCCTAGAAGAGCCTCTGCTGGTGGACAGAGGAGCTGCTGCATGCAGACGAGGAAGCTGGGCTGAGGGCCGGCACCAGGGCACGGGGCAGGGAGGCTGCGGGTCCCGGGTCTCATGGGTCTCAGTTCTATGGAGGTGCCTGTCAGTCCAGGTATTCAGTCCCCCAACCCCGTCTTTGGGTCTCAGTGGTACTGGATCCAGGTGTACCTTTGGGAGAAGCTGTTGAGAAGCTGGCTGAGGGAGGACCACCCACGTGCACGCCCATGCTCTTATGTGGATCCCCGGGATCATAACCTTGTGGCTGACACATTTCCTCTCCAAGGCTGTGCTGTCCTCCACGACTTGCTGGGTCCCCTCAAGGCCCTTGCCTGTGTGGGTGGGGTGCTCATGGGAATGAGGGTCTTGGGAGGGGGGGGTGGGAAATCAAACAACACAGGGATGGGGTAGCTGCCACAGTCCCCACCAATGGGGTCTCCTGGGCAGTGACCCGGCATTCTGCCTCCAGTGGCTGCAGTGGGAGTCCTGATCTCAGGCCAGGGAGGGGACGTGCAATGGTGGTCCAGACCTGGTCCCATTCCTGGCCAGGCTCAGTAAAGTTACTGGCCAGTTTCTGGGCCTCGGTCTCCCCCAGGTTATTCAGCCTTGAGAGTTAGTCACCATGCCTGTGATTCTGCCTCATCTTCTTGTGTCAAATAGGGAGGGTTTTTCTTGGCAGAATGGTGGTAAGACTCTGAGCCAGAAGGAGACTCTCCCAGAGAAGGCAGCAGAGAGCAAGAGCACCAGGGCCTTCTCAAGGCCTCCGAGAGCCAGCTGGGCCTGGGCAGTAGATTTGTGGGAGGGTGCCCTGTTGGGACTCTGCTGACAGGGAGTCCTCAGGGCTTGTGTGAGTGCTCTCAAAGTCACAGGATGGGATGATCACCTCCTTTCTCCAGGCCAGGCAGCCAGCGCCGGAAAGCTCTGCAGCCCCCTGCGCGGCCTGGAGAAGGGCTTCCTTCCAGTTTTAAGTCAGTGTTTCTGTCTCATTGCCATGCTCGCCCCCAGTGCTACGTCCTGCACCAACCATTGCCACTTCATACTGACCAGGTGGAACCAAACACTCACATTCCAGTTGGCTCCCCATCCCTCCCCAGGGAGAACAGATCCACAGGTGGTGCACCTGTGAGTGGAGTGGAGGCTGGCCACGGGCCTCATCACACCTGCCTTCCTTGCTCAAAAGCCCTGCCCAGAACATGCCTCGGTCCCAAAAAAGGGTACACTGGGCCCTAACCCACATGCCTCATAATCTTTAAGCAGAAACAGCAAGCAGATTACGGGACAGGACAGATCACGCTAGTAGGATTAAGCTTAGAATATCCCAGATAATCGCGGATGCCCCTCCCCCAATGGGGGAGTTATTCCCCTTAACTTCTGAGGATTAAGGGGAATAAGAAAAAGAAGAAGGGCTGGGTGCAGTGGCTCACACCAGTAATCCCAGCACTTTGGGAGGCCAAGGCGGGTGGATAACTTGAGGTCAGGAGTTCCAGACCAGCCTGTCCAATGTGGTGAAACCCCGTCTCTACTAAAAATACAACAATCAGCCGGGTGTGGCAGCACGCACCTGTAGTCCTGGCTACTCGGGAGGCTGAGGCAGAATTGCTTGAACCCGGGAGGTGGAGGTCGCAGTGAGCCGAGATCGCACCACTGCACTCCAACCTGGGTGACAGAGCAAGACTCGGTCTAAAAAAAAAAAAAAGAAAAAAGAAAAAGACGGATAAAAGAAGACAGAAACATGGGAGTATTTCCTTTGCACAAGAATCCAAGGTCTAGAATGAAGAGATGGTGAAATGAAGCCAGCCTCCAGGAAGGTGCACTGTGCCTTAATGGGACCTGGGGATGGGAAGGCCAACACAGAGGTGTCAGCGGGACAAACACAAAGTGTTTCTAACAAGAGCAAAGATTTCCAGTCTTCTCTTTATTTCCAAACACTCTGTAGGTAAAGCAGAGCCTCAGTAAACCCAAGAAGCAGAAAACCTGGCCTCCTGCCTGGGGCAGCTTCAGTTTAGACTTTTCTTCATTCCTAACAGCATAAAGAGGCTGTGCAAATGGGAGGCACTCAGCAGAGCCTGAAGAACTCTGGGGTCTTAGCTCCTGGGAGGCCACACATGCTTGGTGGCACCCTGCCGGTCACGGTGCCTCCAAAAGCTCCCAATGATCAGTGGCCTTTCTTTTTTTTCTTTTTTTTCTTAGACAGGGTCTCACTCTTTGCCAGGCTGCAGTGGCGGGATCTTGGTTCAGTGCAACCTCTGCCTCCCAGGTCCAGGGAGTCCTCCTATCTCAGCCTCCCAAGTAGCTAAGACCACAGGCAAGCACCACCACGCCCGGCAAATTTTTTGTATTTTTAGTAGAGCTGGGGTTTTGCCATATTGTCCGGGCTGGTCTCGAACTCCTGGCCTCAAGTGATCCACCCGCCTCCGCCTCCCAAAGTGCTGGGATTACAAGCAAGAGTCACCCCACTCGGCCAGTGTGGCCCTTCTTCAGGTCATCACTTGCCAGCCGCAGGCGGTGGCTCTGCCCCTCACCGGACACGACGTCACAGCCGGGATGTGAACAGCAGATTCTGATCTCCAACTCCAGACAATCACTGATTTACTTCTGCAAACCGGAGCTGTCCGGTCTTGCAGGGTCGGACCATGTAAACAAGCCTGCTGCCAGGCAACTGAAGACAGAAACACGAATAAAGATGCCCCATAAGGAATGAAAAACAAAACTCCTCTTGGGAAACCCAGATTTGGGATTCGGAAACGGGCTTGAGATCAACCTGAAGCTTCATGACGTCTTACTGTTTCCACTGCCTTTCCTGTTCCACTACAGCAACGCCCTCCACTTCACGTGCCAAGTCCTGACTTTCTCCTAATAGTTGCCGACCCAGCACCCCGTAGGCTGTCCCCTGGGGACGCCGATGTCCTCTGGGGCATAGCGTCCGCTGGCGAAGCCGGGTGCTTGCCCTAAGCGCGGACACTTCCGCAACCGCCCAACAGTTAGCAGAAGCCCAATACAAGAGACGCCCCATTCTCCCCATCCCAGGGAAACTTCGCTGGGGCAGGGGTTGAACCGAGTGTGGGTCTCGTAGCCGCTTTCCCAACTTAAGGCTCTGGGTCTGAGCAGGCTCGGGACCCGCCGCCCTTCTCTGGCGGGGGCAGGGCAGGCTCACCGCGCGTAAGCTGAAGTGCGGCAGGGCCCCTCCCCGCAGCCCTCCCGCGCCGTCCGCCGCGGCCCTGCTCCCTCCCGGTCCCCACGGGCCCCGCGCCCGCGCGCTGCCCTCACCGGGCTCCAGCAGATGAGCGCGTCGGTGTCCGGGTCGCTCACGAGGGTCCACAGCTTGGTCAGGAAGGCCGGGACGTTGCTGGGCCCCGCCGCGCCGGGGCCCACGGGCAGATCCATCTCGAGCAAGGAGGGAATAGGCGGAGGGAGCGGCCGCAAAGAGGGGCCGAGGGCCGGGCTAACGCCGTCGCCGCGCCAGCCTTCCGGGCCGCGCCGCCGCCCGCTGCGCACACACAGCCCCGGGGCCCAGCATGGCCGCCGCCATCTTGCAACGGGCGCGCTCCCGCCGCCGCCGCTGCCGCCCTCCCGCGTCACCCCCGGCGCGAGCACGCAGGCCCCGACCCCGCCCTGGTCCCCGGCCCAGCCGCGCGCCTGCGCGTGTTGGTCCCACCCCCTTCCCTCCACCCGCCAATCGGGGCCGGGCTGGGCGGGGCGCGTCCTCCTGCGCACGCGGCCCGGTCGCTGTCGGAAGCGGCTGTGCGGGTGGCGGCCGGCGCGCGGTGGGGCATGGCGGGTTCGCGGGGTGCGGGGCGCACGGCGGCGCCGAGCGTGCGGCCGGAGAAGCGGCGGTCTGAGCCCGAACTGGAGCCTGAGCCCGAGCCGGAGGTGACTGTGGCGATGCGGGGCGGCGGGGCGCGTCCCTAGAGGGCCCGGCGGGCACGTGGCCGCGCTGGGGCGGGTGGGCCCGGCTTCTGTCACCTGGGCGCCCGCGCCCAGTGAATCGGTCTTGGGCGTGGGTGCAGCTCCTCTATCGGGGGGTCTCAGGCAGAGCGGACTGCGGGGTAAAGGACGGCGTCCGGGAAGCAAAGAAACGGGGGAGCGGGGAGTGGGGACGGGGCGCCCCTTGCAGCAGCCTCTCCAGCCGTTCCATTTGTGCATCCTGCCAATAAAAGGGCTCGGCTTGCGCTCCCAGTAAATGCTTAACCTACGTATACGCTAGTTAATTGCGTTTTTATGCTCATGGGATAGACATGAGAATAAGAAAACCTGAATAGAACCCAGTGTCTGCTGCATTTGCTGTATTAGAACTCACTGTTGCTCTCTGCTAGCTCAGCCCTGTCTTGGTTGTGGGGATCATCAAATTGGGTGGTGGAGGGGATGGACAGCCAGCCCCTCACAGCCCCCTCGGCCGCGGCCGCGCTGGGTTGTTGAAACTGCCCCATTGCTTTGTGAAGCGAATTCAACTCATCCTGGCTCCCATGGGCTGAATGGCCCGCAGGCCACTCTAGGCGCCAGGTTCTGCGACTTCCACCCTTGGACTAAACGGTCCTCAGGAGCCAGTTGTTTGCGCCCAGGCCACGGATGCCATTTCCACTAGTTATTGTGATTGTGTAGCCGACTGAATACCAAGACACATCATGACTCTGTGTGAGAGAGGCATTGTGTGAACACTCGGTATGCAATAGCTAATACATGCAGGTCGTACCTTAAGTGAGACTTGTAAACTATTAGGAAAACAGTAAAATCTAGAATTCTGCATTCAACTGCTTCCTTTTTCTTTTCTTTTCCTTTTCTTTCTTTTTTCTTTTTTTTTTTTTTGAGACAGAGCCTGGCTCTGTTGCCCAGGCTAGAGTGCAGTGGTGCAGTCTTGGCTCACTGCAGCTTCCACCTCCTGGCTAACTCAGCCTCCTGAGTAGCTGGGATTAGAGGTGCCCGCCACCACCAGCTAATTTTTGTATTTTTAGTAGAGATGGTTTCACCATGTTGGCCAGGCTGGTCTTGAACTCCTGACCTCAGGTGATCCACCCGCCTCAGCCTCCCAAAGTGTTGGGATTACAGGAGTGAGCCACTGTGCCTGGCCTTCAACTGCTTCCTAAGAGTCTAAGTTCTTGTTCCACCCTTTAAGGCCAGTGAAGGACCCGAACACTGTGTGTGCCGGTGTCACGCAGCCAGCAGGGCTCTGCTCAGAGGCAGCTGTGGTCCTGCTCAGAGAGAGGAGTGGGTGGGTTGGTGCGTGGTTGCGGTTAGAGTCTCTATCATTCCTGTGACTCTTCAGCCAATCCTTTCAATTTACTGATCAATCGTTGGTCCCAATCTGGTTAAATGAGGAGGCGTCTGCTTCAGGTGGTAAAAGCCCTTTGGGGACCCATTTCTCTTCCAGCCCCCAGCCCCTTTTCTAGTGACCTCTTGGCTCTGGGGCCTTGGATGCCAGGGTGAGGTGTGGAGAGGGCTCAGGCAGGCTGTCTGAGGGACCCAGTGGAGTCCAGCCCAGCCTGACCCCACAGGGCCTCCGGAGTGTCAGTGGGTGGTAGAGAGCAGTGTTAGTTTTGCGATGAGAGCTGAGCTCCAAGAGGAGGAGGTTGTCCTTGAAAAGCCCCTTCCCTGTGAGGTGCTAGGAATTAAAATGTCGATGGCAAAGGCAAGAGGCTGTCTTGTCAGTGGAGGTAGAAGATGAGGAAGGCTCAGGTTGGGTGGATGCTTTTGGTGGAAGTTTGTGACTGGAGGGGTGTGGTCCTGGAGGCCACATGGAGCTGCTGGTGGGTGGCTGGAGGGGCGAGAGGCAGCTCTCCCTGCAGTGTTCAGTGCCCCATGCCTGGAGGGGCAGTTGTCACCAACCCAGTGTTTCCTTGCAGCCCCCCCTCCTCTGCACCTCTCCTCTCAGCCACAGCACCGGCAGCGATTCTGGCGTCTCCGACAGCGAGGAAAGTGTGTTCTCAGGCCTGGAAGATTCCGGCAGTGACAGCAGTGAGGATGATGACGAAGGCGACGAGGAGGGAGAGGACGGAGCCCTTGATGACGAGGGCCACAGTGGGATTAAAAAGACCACTGAGGAGCAGGTGCAGGTGGGTGAGCGAGGAGCCCCCTCGAGGGCTGTCCCCCATGTGCAGGTGGCCTTGGGCTTTCTGAGACTGCCACTGTACTGCCTTCTCCACCGTCCCTCAGAACCCCAAGGCCGGCGTCCCTCCTTCACTGCACCTGGGGCACGCTTGGGCTCTAGGACGCTGGTTTCCATCCCCAGTTGCGTGCCGTTCCCAGGAACTCTGAAAATCCACATGCCTAGGCCCTTCCCCGTCAGACGATGCTCGGGCAACCCTCCTGGCAACAGGTTGGGTTTCCTTGAGGTGGGGATTTTACTGCTTGGAATCCAGTGGCAGGACCCAGCTGAGGAGGGAGCTGAGCAGCATGGCAGGGCTCAAGCAGGCGGCATGGGGGCCCCAACGGAACCCAGCTGGGCCTGACCCCACAGGGCTTCAGGGGCCTGAGCAGCCGACGGGTAGAGGGTTTAACATTGTACCTGTTGCAGCGATGGTGGGGGAGGATGCACCCTACTCTTATTGAGAACAACAGGAGAAAAGCATAATTTAACTAAAACACAGCATTTGTTATTTTTTTTTATTTTTTATTTTTTTGAGACAGAGTCTCACTCTGTCGCCCAGGCTGGAGTGCAGTGGTGTGATCTTGGCTCACTGCAACCTCCATCCCCTGGGTTCAAGTAATTCTCCTGCCTCAGCCTCTCTAGTAGCTGGGATTACAGGTACATGCCATCACGCCCGGCTAATTTTTGTACTTTTAGTAGAGACAGGGTTTTGCCGTGTTGGCCAGGCTGGTCTCGATTTCCTGACCTCAGGTGAGCCACCACGCCCGGCCTATTTTTTTTTTTTTTTTCTAAGACAGAGTCTTGCTCTGTTGCCCAGGCTGGAGTGCAGTGGGGCGATCTTGGCTCACTGCATCTTCCACCTCCTGGGTTCAAACAATTCTCCTGTCTCAGCCTCCTGAGTAGCTGGGATTACAGGTGCCCACTACCAGGCTCGGCTAATTTTTTTTTGTATGTTTAGTAGTGACGGGGTTTCACCATGTTGGCCAGGCTGGTCTCGAACTCCTGACCTCAAGTGATCTGCCTGCCTTGGCCTCCCAAAGTGCTGGGATTACAGGTGTGAGCCACCGCGCCCAGCCCAGCATTTGTTACTCTAAACATTCTGGAAATCGTTTGTAAGGATTTACTCTCCCAGTAGTTTCGGTGTTCTGGAAGTTACGGCCTTGGCAGAGGTCCCCGTGATAGAAGCCAAGGAACCATGGCTTGTTCATTGTGTGCTAGCTGTGTTGGGTTGGCTTGTTTGCTGGGAAGAAAAGATTTAAAATCACACTTAATTCAGGCTTTAATTATACCACTAACATACACAGAGAAAAAATGATGTGCTGTGTTGGCAGTGGTTTGTAAGATTATGGACAACTACGTTACCCCTTCTTGAGTTTTTAAAATGATACAATACTGGGCCAGGCACAGTGGCTCATACCTGTAATCCCAGCAGCTCGAGAGGCCAAAGTGGGAGGATCTCCTGAGCCCAGGAATCCAGGTCACAGTGAGCTATGATAGAGCCACTGCACTCCAGCCTGGGTGACAAGCAAGACCCTGTTTCAAAAAAAAATTATGAGATAAAACATCCTGGAAAATAATGTAGATATTGTAGCAGCACCATTCAGTAGGGTGGAAGCTCCCACTCAGGGCCCTCACACCTAACCCGTGAGCACAGTTAGTGGTCTGGTGTACATCTTTCTGGGTCTTCTGTCCCTTTTTAAATTAAGGATTTACACATTTACATGTTAATGATTTTTTTATTAAATTCTTTCAGCGGGCGTGGTGGCTCACGCCTGTAATCCCAGCACTTTGGGAGGCTAAGGTGGATGGATCACCTGAGCTCAGGAGTTCAAGACCAGCCTGGCTAACATGGTGAAACCCTGTCTCTACTAAAAATATAAAAATTAGCTGGGCGTGGTGGCGCGTGCCTGTAATCCCAGCTACTCGGGAGGCTGAGGCGTTAGAATCACTTGAACCTGGGAGGCGGAGGTTGCAGTGAGCCGAGATCTCACCACTGCACTCCAGTCTGGGTGACAGAGTGAGGCTCTGCCTCAAAAACCAAAACAATGTTTTCGCATAATAACATATCCAAGTACTTGAAAGGTACTAGAGGTGTCTGCGGAGTCTAGGGAGGCGCCATCTTCTCTTCTCGCTGCTTGTCTCCTGGCCCCTGGAGCACCAGGTCCTCTGCACTGCTGAGTGTGTGCTTGTCCTGCCCATTGCCCTGCTCGGGTTTCTGTGACCGCGTAACTGGCTGCCCCATGCAGGGTGTTTTCCAAAGTACCGCTGTCTGTGGTCTGTGTGCTCCGTCATCCAGCAGGGCCTGAGGTGGCAAGGCCGGCCGGGCTGGTGGGGCGGTCCTCAGAGTTCCCCACGCTGCTGGCTGCCCAAGTCCCTGCCTGAGGCCCTGCCCTGTTGTGGCGCTCATGCACCTGCCCGCGTGTCCTGTGCTTTAGCTGAGGGGCCGAGGCCCTGCCCTGCCATGGCGCCCGTGCATCTGCCCGCGTGTCCTGTGCTTTAGCTGGGAGGCCGAGGCCCTGCCCTGCCGTGGCGCCCATGCACCTGCCCGCGTGTCCTGTGCTTTAGCTGAGGGGCCGAGGCCCTGCCCTGCCGTGGCGCCCATGCACCTGCCCGCGTGTCCTGTGCTTTAGCTGAGGGGCCGAGGCCCTGCCCTGCCGTGGCGCCCATGCACCTGCCCGCGTGTCCTGTGCTTTAGCTGAGGGGCTGAGGCCCTGCCCTGCCATGGCGCCCGTGCATCTGCCCGCGTGTCCTGTGCTTTAGCTGAGGGGCACCTTGGGCCCTGTCAGGGTGTTTTCAGTTCTAAAGTGTGATCCTCATGACTGGGTTTAAATTCTTCCAGGTCAGGAGAATGAATTGATGAGGTGGGGGTGCTTTCAGCTTCTTAGTGGGAACCCCTCCCTTTTCCCCCCTGTTCATCAGAAGCCACCCAGGCACCTTGGCCTGCTGAGCGGCCACTCCCTCCTGCCTGCCCTCCGCGCCCCTCTTGAATGGTGGGAGTCCTTTCCCATTGTGCAGCCCTGCAGGTGGAAACTCAGCCGGCAGCCCAGTGCTGCCTCCTGCATGTTCTCTTGGCTTCCATGAGCGTGGCCACGTGAGGCCTCCCAGAGTGCCGCCAAGATGGCCCCGTCATGCCCAGTTAGTGGCCTCAGGTTAGGCCTGTTTCTGTGTCATCCCGAAGGCAGTCCAGGGCTCCTTACGCCTGTATCTCCGCCACCTCCCACTCGCATCGTGGGTCCACGGGGCCGGGCCACCAGGGGCTCTGCCAGACACCCTCGCCCGCCACAGCCATCTGGAGGATTCTGCCCCCGATGCCCCTGCCAGTGGTTGTGGGTCCTCAACCCAAGAACCCTTCCGTTGAGCGGCTTCTAGAATCAGTGCCCCTTGGTTCTGGGAATTCACACCACAGTGACACAGCAGCTTCTCCTGCTGCTAAGTGTCCTTGCCCTGCAGTGGGCGCACCTGGGATTCTGTGGTCCTGGCCACGGCCACTCGTGTGGTCTTGCAGATGGTTCATGGGCCTCGGTGGGTTACTTGGTAAGTGAGGGTAATGTCTGCCTGGCAGCCCCTGAAGGACGAGATGATGTTTTTGCTAATTTCTCTTCTGCCACGTGCTTCTGCCTGTCCCCCCACTCCCTCCTGTCGCTGTTTCCTCCACAGTGGTTGGCAAGACGTGGCCCCTGTGGCCTCTGCCTCGTGCATCTGAAGGACATCCCAGCCACAGCATCACATCAGACTGGAACAGTGGCGGGATGGGGCTGGGCATCAGGCAGCATGCATGTGTCATGTCACGGACACCTCAGGGACACACGAAGTCAGGCAGGGCGAGGGCCTCACTCCCCAGGCCGCCTAGCCCTTGGTGGGTATACCCGGCCCCGATGGTGCTGTGAAGAAGGGGCTGTGTGACTGGCATGGGAGGGAGCTGCGGCTTTTGTTCATCTCTGCCATCCTGGCAGCGATGTGGCTGATGGGTCACCTTCAGAGAGCCTCCTCCATAAATCTGATTCCAAGTGTGTGCCCCAAACCAACCCAGACCGGCCCGGGGCGTCCTGCGGAGAGCCCCACAGTGGGAGGCCCTTGTAGCGGGGAGCCCGGTGACTGCTGGGGGTCAGCTGCTGGCGGCCCCTGTGGAGACCTGGCGACCTGCCAAGGGCTCCGGACCTGCCTGGGTGGACCCAGGGTGGGCGTGCTTCTGGCTGCAGGGCCGGGCCACAGGCTTCCCTCTGGCTTTCTGCCCTCAGGCCTTTAGCATTGACATGCACACGACCCTGCCTCCTTTCTAAGGACTGTGTAGAATTACGTGGCATTCAGTGAGCAGCTGCACGTGGTGTTCTAGGGCACCTTTGGATGCTCAGGTGCTCCTGAGGGGTGTGCCAGGGAACGAGTCTCCTACCCTTCCCTCCTGGCTCCTGTTGCTGCATCCAGGCAACTACTGTTTCCAGTGCTGAAGTCTCTTTCCAGGATGTTCTAGACATATCCAAACTCGCACAGAGTTTTTGAATGGTGGTTTCTTAAGAGAAGGGGCAGCCGTGCGCTGTCTCAGGATGGTTCTGTCAGGGAGGCCATGGCTCTGGTTTGTACAGTGCTTGGTGCCCGTAGAGTGCCTGGCAGCTCGGCCTCAACAGCTCCAGTGGGTGGGCAGTTGCAGGCTTTTGCTCTTACAGTTGACCTGACAGTAACATGCTGTTTCTCACATGTGCACACCATTCTTGGGGAAAATTCCAAGAGAATTTCTAGGTCAAAGGATAAATGCTTTTTTTTGTTTGAGACAGGGTCTCACTCTGTCACTCAGGCTGGAGGGCAGTGGTGCGATGTTGGCTCACCAAAATCTCAACTTCCTGGGCTCAAGGGATCCTCCTACCTCAGCCTCCCTGGTAGCTGGGACTACAGGGTCCCCGCCACCATGCCTGGCTAGTTTTGTTTTGTTTTGTTTTGTTTTGTTTTTTGAGACAGAGTCTCGCTCTGTCGCCCAGGCTGGAGTACGGTGGTGCAATCTCGGCTCACTGCAACCTCCACCTCCTGGGTTCAAGTGATTCTCCCGCCTCAGCCTCCTGAGTAGCCGGGATTACAGGCGCCCGTCATCACGCCCGGCTAATGTCTGTATTTTTAGGAGAGACGGGTTTCACCATGTTGGCTGAGCTGGTCTCGAACTCCTGACCTCAGGTAATCCACCTGTCTTGGCCTCCTGAAGTGCTGGGATGACAGGCGTGAGCCGCCGCACCTGGCCATCAATGCATTTAATTGTGAAGGTGCTTGGAGCGTCCCTCCGCTAGGCGGTGATGCCATGCACTACTGCAGCCGCCCCTCAGCTGCTTTCCCACCACCAGCCTCCCTCATGGTGTTGCTGCTTCATCTTTTCCTCTTGTTTAGTGATGTTTTTCTTTCATTAAGAATGAGGCTCGCACAGCTGGGCTTAACTGAAAAAATAAAAATAAAAAGAATGAGTCACAGGCTGGGCCCAGTGGCTCACACCTGTAATCCCAGCACTTTGGGAGGCCAAGGCAGGTGGATCTCTTGAGCCCAGGAGTTCAAGACCAGCCTGTGCCATATAATGAGACCCCATTTTTACAGAAAATTTAAAAAATGAGCCAGGCATGGCGGTGCGTGCCCGTGGTCCCAGTCCCGGAAGCCCTTCTGTCTCTTCCCTGTGGCGGCATCATCCATGCACTTAGCTGGCTGGAAACCCTCATGGCTGTTGCCCAAGGGCAGGACAGCTAGCTGGTTCTTGTCATTTTGGTCTGAGCTCCCTGGGCCAGGAGCCCTTTGCTGTTTTCTCTCTGTTTGTTTGTTTTGTTATCTGGCACCACAACAAACTGCCCCAAACCATGGAGCCTTTCTTTTTTTTTTTTTTTTTTTTTTTTGAGATGGAGTTTTTTTGCTCTTATCGCCCAGGCTGGAGTGCAGTGGCACAATCTCGGCTCACTGCAACTTCTGCCTCCTGGGTTCAAGCGATTCTCGTGCCTCAACCTCCTGAGTAGCTGGGATTACAGATGCCAGCCACCACGCTCGGGTAATTTTTTTTTTTTTTGTATTTTTAGTAGAGAGGGAGTGTCACCATGTTGGCCAGGCTGGTCTTGAACTCCTGACCTCAGGTAATCCACCTGCCTTGGCCTCCCAAAGTGCTGGGATTACAGGCGTGAGCCACCGCACCTGGCCACCATAGTGCCTTTCAACAACGAGCATTTGCTGTCTGTGTTTCTGGGGTCAGGAGTCCTGGTGTTTTGTGAGGTGCACTCAAGGAGCAGGGTCTGGCTGTGCCCTTTGCAGCTCCTCCCCTGACTGTTGGCATGAGGAGCTCAGGAGTGAAGGTGAAGAAGGGTACTCTGTGTCTGGGGGGTGGTCAGAGGATAGGGATGAGGACAGGGACAGGGCCCAAGAAGATGGGGTGGGTGCTGTACCTCCCCCTTCCTTCCCTGGGGTATCTGTGGGCCACGGCAGGGCCCACAGCTGTTGCTAGTAGCCTCCTTGGGGCCAGTGGGTTTGATTTATTTTTGTGTTTGTGTGGTTTGAGGGCAGGCATCCCTTCCCCACCCTTTGCGTCCCTGCTACAGTGACCCCTCTTTCTGGGTCCACCTGCTCTGGCACGAGCTTGGTGGGCCAGCCTCACCCCAGGGCCCACCCCATCTCCAGCCTCCCTGCCTTGGGCCTGGCAGTCCTGCCTCTTAATTGCGTTCTGTGCCACCTGATGACCCACGAGTTCTGTCTCCTGGCCTGGTTCCTACTCCCTGGGACTTTCTGCAGCCCCTGCCCTTCCAGCTGTTGACTGTGTCTGCGAGCCATCCCACTGGAGGGGCGCCCTGGGCTGTGTGCTCCCTGCCCTGCAGCACCCCTGACACGGGTGCTCCCAGCCCTCCACTGACCAGCCAGGGAGGAAGCTGCCTCCTGCCGGCCTGTGCCTCGCTTCCTGTCCCCTCTCCAGCAGCACACGGCAGCGCGGGCCGCGGGCTCACCGGAGCGAGGACTGGTTGCAGGGCCTTCTCTTTATCGCTGGTGTCTAGTGGATCTGTGGGGTCCGTGCGCTCAGAGCTGTTTTTTCCTTTCTGTGCTCATTTAGATTCATTTTTTTCCCAGCTTTGCTTGGTTTTGTCTTTTCATTTATGTGAGTTTTTCTTTTTATTATTTTGTGCAGAAGTTTCTGTTTTTATCAGTTAATCTGCTTGTCACAGTCAAGAATGTGAGAAAAGACTGGATGCGGTGAGCCAAACCTGTAATCCCAGCACTTTGGGAGGCCAAGGTGGGCGGATCACTTGAGGAGTTCGAGACCAGCCCGGCCAACATGGTGAAACCTCATGTGAATTGCTTGAGCCTGGGAGGCGGAAGTTAGAGTAAGCTGAGATCATGCCACTGCCTCCATCCTGGGTGACAGAGTGAGTGGGACTCTGTCTTGAAAGAAAAAAGCACTAGTAAGAGAAGGCCTAAGACCTAGTATTAAAGTAAGAGAAGGCCTAAGACCTGGTATTAAAGTGAGAGAAGGCCAAAGACCTGGTATGAAAGTGAGGGAAGGCCGAAGACCTGGTATTAAACTGAGGGAAGGCCGAAGACCTGGTATTAAACTGAGGGAAGGCCAAAGACCTGGTATGAAAGTGAGAGAAGGCCGAAGACCTGGTATTAAACTGAGAGAAGGCCAAAGACCTGGTATGAAAGTGAGAGAAGGCCGAAGACCTGGTATTAAACTGAGGGAAGGCCGAAGACCTGGTATTAAACTGAGGGAAGGCCGAAGACCTGGTATTAAACTGAGAGAAGGCCAAAGACCTGGTATGAAAGTGAGGGAAGGCCGAAGACCTGGTATTAAACTGAGGGAAGGCCGAAGACCTGGTATTAAACTGAGGGAAGGCCGAAGACCTGGTATTAAACTGAGAGAAGGCCAAAGACCTGGTATGAAAGTGAGGGAAGGCCGAAGACCTGGTATTAAACTGAGAGAAGGCCTAAGACCTGGTATTAAACTGAGAGAAGGCCGAAGACCTGGTATTAAAGTGAGAGAAGGCCGAAGACCTGGTATGAAAGTGAGAGAAGGCCTAAGACCTGGTATTAAAGTGAGAGAAGGCCGAAGACCTGGTATGAAAGTGAGAGAAGGCCGAAGACCTGGTATTAAAGTGAGAGAAGGCCAAAGACCTGGTATTAAACTGAGAGAAGGCCTAAGACCTGGTATGAAAGTGAGAGAAGGCCGAAGACCTGGTATTAAAGTGATGATTCCAGATTTTTTTTTTTTTCTGAGACAAGAGTCTGTCTGTCACCCGGGCTGGAGTGCAATAGCCTGATCTCAGCTCACTGCAGTCTCCACCCCCCAGATTCAAGCAGTTCTTTCTCCTGCCTCAGCCTCCCGCTGTGATTACAGGTGAGCGCCACCAAGCCCAGCTAATTTTTTGTATTTTTAGTAGAGACAGGGTTTTCCATGTAGGCCAGTCTGGTCTCGAACTCTTAACCTCAACTGATCCGCCTGCCTCGGTCTCCCAAAGTGCTGGGATGACAGGTGTGAGCCACTGGGCCCGGCCTTCCCAGATAATTTAAGGAGAGTTTGGCCTGTGCCGGAGCATAATGCACACTCTTGGGCAGGGGATCCCGCCAGCGTCTCAGCGAAGGCTCTGGGAATGGCAGGTGGCAGGCCGCGTTGCTGCAGCGTGGGAACCCTGGGCTCGGGCCCCCTGTCGCTGTGGTTCTGGGGTCTGGGTGCTGGTGCCGTCTGCTGGAGAGTGGTCTGGAGCTGCAGCTCTGTGGAGTCTGGAAAGGGGCTGCCCAGTGATTCTCACCAGCTGGTCAGTGGTGGAGAAGTTGCCTGGGTGTGGACCACAGAGCTGGGGATGGAACCAGGGGCCAGGGCTGGTGGTAAACTCCGCTCTTGCCTCTGCCTGTGGCCTTGCTTTGGGTTCTTTTGAAGACTGCCAGCTCCAAGCTTCTTGGCCCCCATGGGGGAGTCAGGCAGCTGTTCTGCCACCTGCCCTGACACTTTGCAGCATCAAACAGATATTTTGTAGCATTCTGGATTCGAGGGGTCAGAGTTCAGGCCGAAAGCAGCAGGGTCAGTACACCCTGAGTACAGTGTCATGCTGAGGGGCCGGGGAGCCCCAGAGGGTTCTGGTACATTCCACCTGAGGAAGATCGACACTCAGCTCACATCCTGTGCTCTGGGACTTGGGTGAGGATCTCAGGTGAGCACAGCCGGGCCTCTTGTGTGTCCAGACCGCCCCTGACAGCCATGTTCACGAAGGGTACCCCTGTCCAGCTGTCCCCTCTCCCAGGGCTCAGGGCTGCAAGGACGTGGTCTCCTGTGCCAGGCAGAGCCACACGGCCTTCACGACCTCAGCCCAGAATCCTGTGGTGTCAGTGTGGGCTGCCTCCCTTGGGTGGGTAAAGCAGCCACAAGCCCACCCAGATTTGCGGCGGGGGGGACATAGACTCTGTCTCTTGATGCGATGAAAATCAAAGGTTTGTGGCCGTGTTTTAAAATGGTCACAGTCACCCTTACGCTTGCCAAATAGTCTCTTCCCCCAGCGCTCCCCAGAACCTCATTCCACTGCCAGGGTCTCATCTAAACCAGGCCTGATAGATGGGGGTCCTTGGGCCCCTCTCTGCACAGCTGTCTGCAGTGGGGCACCGAGTCACAGTGCTGTGGAGTGGTCTCTGGTCTGTGGTGGTCCTAAGGTGGCTGAGCACATGGCTGGTGGTGGTCTTGGCCATGGTGGTCTTGGCCCGTGGTGGTCTTGGGGCCTGTGGTGGTCGTGGCCCATGGTGGTTGTGGCCTGTGATCGTCAGGGCCCATGGTGGTATAGGGGACCTGTGGCAGTTGTGGCCTGTGGTGATCGTGGGGCCCATGGTGGTCTTAGGGCCTGTGGCGGTCGTGGCACGCAGTGGTCTTGGGGCCTGTCCTTGAGACCCATGATGGTCTTGAGACCCGTGGTGGTCGTGGCCTGTGGTGGTCTTGAGGCCCATGGGGGTCATGGCCCATGGCGGTCGTGGCCCGTGACGGTCATGGCCCTTGGTGGTCATGGCCCGTGGTGGTCTTGGGGCCTCTGGTGGCAGCACACATGGCCAGTGCCTCATGCAGGGTTGGCCTCCATGCCTGGGAACGACCCTGCCACTCTTGGGCTCCTGCCCCGAGTTACCTTCCTTTTCCCTGAGTAAAAAGGGATGTTTTTCGGCTGTATTTTCTCTGGGCTTTTCAGTTCCTGCTGATGTACTTTCTTTAAAACAAAATGTGGGTTTCCTAGGTACCTGTTGATGAGTCGTTGCTGTCACACGAGCCATCGGCACAGAGCTCTTGGATAGCAGCCTGTCTCTGTGCTGGGCACCCTGCGGCTAGCGTGGGCAGGGCCCTAGGGAGCCTTGGCCGTGCTGAGGTGCTGGGTGTGGGGTCTGTGGTGCAGCGCTGGGTTGTCTTGGTGTCCTTGGCACCCCGACAGCGATGTTCTGGCTCTGGTCTCTGGGCAAGTTAGGACTGCTTCCCTCCTGCTGTCCACGTCTCCAGCAGAACCCTCTTGTGGGCAGCCCTGGGAGCAGAGTTCTCTTCCCACCGAACCGGGACACCGCAGCTCTGTCGCCATCCTCTCCCAGGAGGTGAGGGCAGAGCCCGTGTCTCATGCCTGGTTGGTGGCAGTGGGGCACGGCCTGGCTGGCCTGATGCTGGGGAGGGGAGGCTCTGGTGTGGTCACAATAGGGGGCTCATGCGCTTGGACACCGTTTCTGTCTGGCTGAGCCCACTGTGGGTTTCTCCCTTTGGTCCTCATGGTGACATTCTAGCCCTGGGGCTGGGCAGAGGCCACGCAGGGTTCAGGGACTACAGCAGCCTTTCCTTGGCCCCAGCGGCCCCGCATCCTGCTGGCACCTCGTCCTTGCGCTCCCCCTCGGCGGCTCCCTGCCCACCCGTCGGTCCTTCAGACCCGCCTGCCTCTGCCCAGTGGCGCTCGCCCGCCCACTCTCTCAGCTTTTACTTCACCCTCACGCAACTCTCGTGCTCCATCGGGCCCGACCCCTCCTCAGTCAGGCCACGCACACTGCGGGTGGTGCTGGAGACCCTGGAGAATCCGGGCTGACTCCAGGCATGGGCGTGGCGGGAGGGGGTCCTGTCCCCAGGAGTCCGGAGCGTGGCGTGGGCTCATGTTCCGTTGTCTGTGTCGTTAGGGTTTTGGTGGCCTTTTCCTCTAATTTTTAAGTTAAAAAAAATACGTTCAATGCCCCACAGCATCTGCCTCCAAAATCTGAAGGGGCCTTCTAGGTCAGGCAGTTCCCAGCAGTGGCCGCCCCTGCCCGCACCGCCCCTGCCCGCACCGCCCCTGCCCTTCGGGCGCTGGGCCTGGCTGAGCGCCGTCGCCCCCTGGTGGACTCTGTGCCCCACAGCTGTCCCACGGGGATGCTGCGCCCCTGGGAACCCAGCACCTTCGAAGGCCACCTCTGCCCCCTGCCCAGAGCCTGCCTGTGCCGTGGCCTGTCCACATCCAGCACAGGGGCCACGGGGCACAGAGCGCTGGGTGACAAGTCTTTTGTCACCTGCCAGGACCCTGGGACTGCGGCCCATGAGCAGCGAGGCTGGGACTCCAGCGTGCGGTGCTTCAGCCCCGGCCACTGTGAGGGGTCGGGAGCCCAGCCCGGTACCCGTCCGCAGAGGCCAGGCGGGGGCAGCCGACCGCAGCCGGGTGTGGAACTGCCCTTGTGCGCGTCTGGGGCTTGGGGCCGGGGTCACGGATCTGCTGCGGCTGTGGGGGCTCATGTGCTCCAGGCAGGGGCAAGAGCTCCGTGTCACTGAGCGCCCCAGGCCACTGTCAGCAGCAGGGGGAGACGTGGAAACTGAATCCTTCCTTGTTCCTGGCCTGGGAAAAAACTTAGTCTCCCATCTCTCTTTATATTGAAGGAAAAAACAGGCAGGGGAGGAGCCCGGGCCGGAGAGAAGAGGGGCTCGGGGTGGGGGCGGGGGCGTGCCCGCCTTCGCTCTGGGGTTCCTGCGCCCGAGCACTTTACTGCCCCCACGGGTGAGAGGTGGGCCTGTTTTCCCCATCAGCCTTGGTTCCGCCAGTAAACCCGATCCGGTTGGAGCCATCCTCACCTCCGCAGTCGAGGGCAGAATCTGTTTTCCAGGTTGGGATGTGAATTCTCAGTGGCGCCCACTCTGTGACCCGGCGGGATGGGGTCAGCCTGGGCTGTGGACGTGGTGGGTGGGAGAACGCTGGGCAGGCCTTCTGAGTGTTCGGGGCCCTCTCTGGGCCCTCTGCTGGCTGGACTGGGCGGGACGTGGCCCCCGGGATGGGTGGACAATGTGTGTCCCCCGCCCCTTCAAGAGCATTGGCCCCAGTGACCCTGCTGCGACGGCTGCGTCTCCTTCTTCCCCCCGACCATGCTGCCCCCGTCCCAGGCGGGGCTCGGCAGGAGCGCCATGTGGGGCCCCTGGGAGGAGTCCTGTGGCTTTGACATGAATGGGGGTACGGGTGGTTGGCGGTGGGTCTTGGTCCTCAGCTGGCGGCTTTGCTCCTGACTGCCCCAGTGGCTTCCGTGTCTAGCCTGACACCCGTGTCAGCCCAGGGACAGAGGCCCCGGGAGGCTGCAGTCCAGCCCTCACAGAGGACAGGGCCGTGGGCAGGACCTGCGGCGCCGGGTGCCAGCCACAGCCCCCAGAGGCCCCCTTAGAGCTGGGTGTTCTCGGCCTTGTGCTGAGGCCTGTGCCAGGCTGGAGCTGCTCAGAGATTTCGGGGTGGTGGGCTTCCTGGGATCCCCCCAAGGTCAAAGGGTACCCTGTATCCCCTGAAGTGACCATTTTCTCTCTCTCTCTGCAGGCCAGCACTCCTTGCCCGAGGACAGAGATGGCGAGCGCCCGGATTGGGGATGAGTATGCGGAGGACAGCTCTGATGAGGAGGTAGGACTGGGGCTGCTTCCCACTGGGCAGGGTGGGGCGGCTTCCATCACAGCCTAGCAGGTGCTGGGGGTTGGGGCTGGGGTTGCCCTGGGGGTGCTGGGACCTGCCGCAGGTGGGCCGCACTGTTGGAGCCGAGGCCCACGTGGGCGTCCTGCTTCCCCATCTGCAAGAGCAATTTCGGGGTCTGGGACACAAGACTGCAATGTATGTGTGTCATCATGGCTTGTGAAGGGGAAGGACCTGGGTGTGGCTCCATGCCCCTGTGTCTGGCCTGTGGACGGGCTCTGGGGGCTCCTGTGGCGTCTGCAGGGTGGCTGTGGGCTCCCTGGGCGTGGCGTGCATGGTCTGGGTGGGGGTCATGGTCGGGGTGGGGGTCACGGGCATGGGTGGTGCCCCTGTCGTGTGTGCTGTGGGGTGGGCCACAGGTTGGCTGGGGGCCAGGCGGGCAGAACAGGGCCAGGGCCACCTCCTAATGTCCTGATGTTCTGGGCAGTGGTGGCCCTTCCCTTCCCCTGGGGTCCCCCTGCCCCCCACCCCTGGTGGTGGCTGATGTGGGCTGGGGCCGTTGCCTCTGGACCTCTGACTGAGTCCCAGGAGCACATCTCAGGAGGGGCAGGAGGTCGGCTGTTTCTCATAAGGAGCTTGCAGGCGAAGGGGGATGCGTGCTGCTGGGCTGGGCTCCACCAGCGTGGAGAGGCTGGCACCGGGCTGGGCTCCGCCAGCGTGGAGAGGCTGGCACCGGGCTGGGCTCCGCCAGCGTGGAGAGGCTGGCACCGGGCTGGGTTCCGCCGGCGTGGAGAGGCTGGCACTGGGCTGTGTCCAAGAGCAGATTTGGCTGCGGGGGGCTGCCCTCATTTGGGAGGGGCTGGAAGCTCTGAGAAGCTCTGAAGCCAGAGGCAGTGCCTGCCTATACCCTCCTCAGTGTGGCCTGGCCCCAGGGTAGGACTGTGGTCCCAGTGGAGCACCTGGGTGTGAGGCAGAGTCTCCTTTGGGCCCTGGGGGCTGTGGGGGAAGGAGAAGGCTTTGGTGTAGGGCCTTCCTGAAGGAGCTCTTCCTGCCTGCCTGTCAGGAACTGTCCCCGGGGGGCCTGGGGGAGACACGCGCCCCCCTCCCCCCAGGTTCTTCCCCCATCCTTCGGCTCTCTTGGCTGTGGCTGCAGGAGCCTTGGCCGCCCGCCCGATCCGGTCTCTGCTGCGCGTTCAGAGAACAGAGACAAAACAAAATAAATTGGTTTCCTGGCCGGAGCAGCGGGCTCACTCAGAGCGGGGGGGCCACGCCGCGCACTCCCTGCCTGTCTCCCCTCCCCCTCCCAGGGGCTCTGGCTGTCGGCAGCCACATCCTGTCGGCTACTTTTTTATATTTGGTATTTTGAGAAATCGATGATGATTGTAAACGGAGCGCGGAGGCCGGGGGAGGGGCCTCGGCGGGGCCTGTGGGACCCTGCTGCCCCTGGGGGTGCTTTGCCAGGCCTGTCCAGTGCCACCGCCGCCTGCCGGGTGGGCAGCCCCCTGCTGTGCTGGGAGGAAGCCGGCCAGGGATGTGGGGGCTGCTTCCTCCAGTGATGACTATCCCATATGTTGGTCTGAGTGACAGCGAGGGAGCCCGGGTGCTGCCCGGTGCTCCTGCCAGCACAGCCGGCCAGTGGCTCGAGGGGGCGGCAGAGCTCAGCTTTCAGGAGCCAGGCCAGGCCCGGACAGATGCCTCCCGTCCAGAGAAGTGCGCATCTGCCTGGGCCTCTGTTCCCTTGGAGCAAAGTGGGGTGGCCCTAGGGGAGTGATTTGGGGCCACAGGTGGGCAGGAAAGAGGCTTGGGAGGTGGGAGACAGCCTGCAGCTCTCCCATGAGACAGTGGGGTGAGGAGAGCAGGGCCCGTCAGGCAGCCCCGTGTCCTTGGAGGTGGCCGTGGCACCAGGACCATGGTCCTCCTCGGCACTGGGCAGAGCTGGCTGAGAGAGGGCCGACCTCACTGCCGGGGCCCTTCAGGGCTGTGGAGAGGGCCCCTGGTAGCAGGGCAGGGAGGGCGCCGCTGGGGCGTGTGCTCCTGCGAGCGGCGATCTCAGCTGGAGCGCGTGGGTGGCAGTGGCTGTGATGCTGAGAAGGTCTCGGGCCAAGCTCCTGCTGGTGGGAGGTGCCTCCCTGCCACCCCCTGCCCACCTACCTCCCCTTCTCCTCAGGCCACTTCCCTGCCCTTCCTGGGTCTGGATCCAGGGCCTGGACCTGGATGACACTGGGGCTTCAGGGACCCCCTGCTGGACGCTGACTTTTGAAGACCTGAGCAGCCCCTCACAGGAGAGCTGTACTCCAGCTCTTGGTGTCTTATTCCCCTCCCCCAGGTGCGCAGGCAGCAGCGAGCAGGCGGAGGGAGGCGGGCGGAGCCCCTGGAGGAGGCGCTGGGCCTGGCTGGGGTCCTGCCGCCGGCAGTGGGGGGCCCCCAGGAGCCGGCTGAGCTGCGGCTGCCCCGCCCCCGCATGGCCACCTCACCCCTCTCCCACCGCGCCTGGAGCTTCACAGACGTGATCTCATCCAGCCGCTGGGACCCCCGGGGAGGTGGGCCGGGGTGGAGGGGCGGGGCAAGGGGGCTCTCGGCCTTTGCCGAAGCAGCCCCTCCGCTTTGATTTGAGCGGTTGGGAGAAACTGAGGCCGGGTGGCTGCTCAGGCAGAGGATGCAGCCACCCACCCTCCCCCTGCCTGTGGCCGTGTTTGTCAGGAAAGCGTAGCAGGCTGAGGGATCTGGGTGGCCGTCCACTCTGGCCGGAGGAGCCGCCCTCTGCTGTCCCTTTCCTGTGCCCCGTGGTGCTGGCCTGGGGCCGTCCCCCACGAGGCCTCCACTGGAGTCTGGAGTCTGGGGCTGGGGTGCAGCCTGGCAGCTCCTCGGTGCCCCTGACCCTGCCTGGGCTGTGAGTCAGGTTCCCGCAGGGATGCAGCCGGGCCTGTCTGCGTCCAGAGCCCGTGGTCCCCTCTGCTCTCGCGCCAAGCGCCGTTAATGGCTTCTCCCAGCTACTGAACCGGCAGCTGCCTCCAGTGCTGGCGGCCTCCGCTCCTCCGGGCCGCCCCCGCCCCCGCGTCCTGGCCCCGCGCACTCAGGCTTGCGTCGCTGCTGGCGGCGCGGCCTCGGCTCAGGTTTCCCGGCGAGCGAACGGCCCTCCCCACGCTGCTTGTGGAGGGCGCCCGGGCCTGCAGACCGCCCCAATCTCCCTGGCGGCCATCCACCCCCGCGGCCGCCTGCATGCCTGCCTCCGAGGGGGCTGCTGACTGGGCTGGGGCTGGCCCTCGGGTCTGGTCCCTTTCCACTGAGGAGGGAAACGGGCGCGCCCTGCTACCCAGGCTGTGGGTGGGTGTGTGTAGCCTGACTGCCGCGTGCCCCTTGGCCGGCTTGAAGGCCCTCCTAGGCCTGGCCTGCTGCACTCAGTTGTCCGGTTTGGGAGAGGAGAGACCCTGGGGTCAGTGATGAGGGGCAGGGAAGCCAGGGCCCTCATGGGGGTACCCTGGGCTCTCGGATGAAGCAGGGCTGGGCAGTGGCTGGTAGGTGGGAGTGGCCTCTTCAGAGCCGCGTCCTCCTGCTTGTGGGCTGCAAGGGTGGTGGGGGCCCTGGCCTGCTGTGCCCACTCGGGGCCAGTGTCCTTGGCAGCTGGAACCCGGGTGGGCAGCGGGGGGTGCTCTACAGGGCTCTTGAGCGGAGGCTTTGCCCTGGGGCTGGCAGAGCAGCCTGTGGAGTGGAGCCGGGGAAGGCATTGGAGGGCAAGGTCTGTTGGGCAGGTGGTGACGGCTGCAGGCTCTGGGCCCTCTGGGGAGGCCGGCTGGGGAGAGCTGGGTCTGGGTGTACGTCCCAAGGCCGGGGCTGTTCTGCAGGGGACGGGAGTCCCAGGTACGTGTGTGTGCACGGATCAGGACTGGGGGAAAAGTCTCCAGAATGAGATTTTGGAGGTGTCCGGAGTTGGGGGCTGAGCGGGTGTGGACCTCTAGAGCCCTGTCCCCACCCCACCTGGAAGTTGTAGCTCTGAGTTGTGGGGCTCAGAGCAGGCCGAGGAGGGGTGAGCACTGGTGGGTGTCGGTGGGGGGTGTTTGGGGTGTCATGCCCCAAGCCTGTGCCCCACCCCTAGCATCCTGGTTTCTGGGAGCCCCTGCTTATGAGATGCCAGGCGTTGGGGTGCTCTGCCTGGGAACAGCTATTGTCCCTGGGTCAGCCCCAGCAGAGACCGAGGCAGGCCAGGTCTGGAGGAACCCCTGGGTCGGTAGTGGCTTCTCTCCAGCCTGCAGACCCCCAGGAGGTGACTTGCTGCCCTCCCAGCTGTGGAGGTGCAAGGACCCCTGGGTCAGTAGTGGCTTCTCTCCAGTGGTGGAGGTGCCGGGAGAAGGCCGAGCTGTGTGCCCAGCCTCTAGAAGGGCAGATGCGTGGTTGGCGGGAGCCGGGCCGGAGCTGAGGGCGTCTGGGCTGGTGGCTCCTCCTGCCTGGGGCCCCACCTTGGGCTGGGGGTTCGCTCAGCTGGTTTGGACTTTGAGGAGGAGGAGACTAAGCAGGACCTGGCTTTCTCCCCTCTGGCCCCGGCGCCAGGGCCCAGCACCCCTGCTGGAACCTTCAGTAGGGTGAGATGCAGCAGGTGAGCCTCCCGCCCTGGCCTTGCCCTGAGCACTTCAACAGATAAAACCCTGAGGAAGAGGAGGCGGCCTCACGTCGCACAGGAAGGCCGTGTGGCGCTCCGAGACAGGCGGGCGTTTTGTGCAGGGGAGCGGCGCGAACGCTGAACACTACCCGCATTGTAATCGGAGAGGGGCTGGGGAAGAGAGAGACGGAGCGAGGGCGGCTGACCCCACGCTCCCGGGGGACAGGTGGGAGAGGCGGAACGAGGAGAGAGTGAAGGATTCCAGAGGTGGGCCGGCTTCCTCTCTCGCAGACAGACACGGGAGGAGGCGGGCAGCGGGCCAGCCCCATACCTGCAGTTCCAATCTGTGGTCCTGACAGCTGCAGCCACTTTGGGGAGGGGGAGGGAAGGGGGCTCATCGAGAGCGGAAAAATCCCAGCCGACACATCAGCCGGTTGCGGCCTGTGTCCGGTGCAGTCTGGGCTGGGGGCCTGTCCTTGGGGCTGGGCGGCCCCCAGGAGAGCCCTGATGCTGGGTCTGTGTGTGCCCCCGGCCGGCCGGCCGGGGCTCTCCGTGCGGGGCCTGACCCGGAGGGGTCACATGTGTTTCCTGGCAGCCCGCAGGTGCTGCGCTGGGCGGGGCGGGTGGTGGGCGCAGGCGACCGTGATGAATCATGTGTCCCGCCAGCAGCTCGTTCCCCAGGCCGGGGACAGGAGCTGACAGCTGAGGCCCAGCAGAGCGTTTCCAGCCCAGCTCGGCTCGCAGGGGCGGCTGCTGGCCCAGGGTGCAGGCTGGGGCCCCTTCCGTCCCAGCTGCCTCTGTGGGGCACAGGCGGAGGGAGCCCTGGGTCTCTGTGGAGGTGAGGCCAGCACTCTGGGAAGGGAGCCAGGGGCTGTGGTGGGCAGGGAGCACCTGCCACTCGTCTGCCCGGCGGCTGTGAGCTACGAGTGGATTCGGGTGGGCTGCCGCAGGCCTGGGGGTCAGCCCACGCCACCCCCGGTCTGGTTTGAATTTCTGGAGCAGTGGAGGGTGACGGAGTGTTCCTCCCCCGCCCCTCCCCTCTTGCTGGCTGGCGGGCCGGGCCCTCGGCCGCTGCTACCGGTGCAGCTCAGGGAGCGGCTGGGCTGGCTGCCCAGGCCTGAGGCTGGCCAAGCTGCAGCCGCGGTCGGAGTCAGGCCCGCAGCGGAGGGCTTGGCTGTGAGTGCTGCACCCCAACCAGCAGGGCCCTGGGGATCCTTTCAGCTCCGAGGCCTCCAGGTCGTTGTTCCCTGTTCACTTTCTTCTAGCCTCGTTAGACACCCCAAACTCTGACCCCAGTCCACGGGGGCTCTGACGTCTCTTTCCCCTGCACTCCCTCTTGACCCTGCCCAGACCTCCCCATGCTGGCCCGCACCTTCCCACCTGCTCCTGTCTGGCCTCCTGCATTCCCGCTCTGAGCTGGCTCTGCCCTGTCCTTGGTGCCGGCCGCCGACGCCCCGCACCTGCCCGCTCAGGCCAGCAGCCCCTGATGTCCCTGCCCTGGAGACTTTCACTATCTTCCATCCCATTTGTCCCCAACGTTGACCGGCCACTGAGGTTGGGGGTTCATGTGGAGGTTTGCAACCCCCACTAGGCCCAGGTCTGGAAATGGGAGGCCTGGAGGTGAGGGGTAGGTGGGCTATGGACCCTCCCTACAGAACTACACCCAGTGCCCAGTGGAGGGAGGGCTGGCGTGGGCGCCGTGGGCCTTAGGGTGCTATGCAGAGTGCCCGGCCTGGCCATGCTCCTGGGTCCACCCTGCTCCTCACTCACCAGCGCCTTGGTGCCTGGGAGGGTGGCGGGGCGGGGGTGTGAGGAAAGCTCCCAAGAAGGGAAGGGGCTGCGTCAGCCCCTAGCTGCATGTCCGTGTCCCCCGGGCCCTGGCTTCCCGGCGGGCGGAGGCTTCTGCAGTGACTGAGCTTGTCCTCTCCTCCCCTCCCTCTGGCCAGCTGTGGGCTCCTGCAGGATTAGGGAGAGGAAATTTGGGGTTGGGTTTCTCTCTGAACGAAACCTGCCGTTGTGACTTTTTATCCTGTTATATTTCTATCAGATTGGACTCAGCCCCCCTCTAGCCCTTAATGGCTCTGGCTTTGAGAATTTCCTCCAAAATTACACCACTGCTTCCTGCTCCGCCATTCCCTGGAGCCTGTCTTTGCAGAGGAGGGGCAGTCCTGGGCCAGCCCTGCACCGATGCCCACGTGGGCCACAGCACCTGGTCTCCCCCCGAGG